>NC_000003.12:84252424-84555454 GCF_000001405.40 Homo sapiens | reverse complement strand
ATTGTTTATTTGTTTCCATCAAAGATAAGAAACATGAAGATTATGGAAGGTAAAAGGAGATAAAAATACTTAGGCAGTATTTTTATCTTTGAAGTTTCTTTGAAGGAACAAGAGTAACAGGAAAGCATTAAGCTCTTGCTCAGCAAAAGATTAAGTGATTATTAATTCAGTTGAGAGAAACTTCAATGGTTACAGTTGCATTAATCCAAACTCCAGGAAATAAAGCATTTGATATGATTTTCAGATCTCTAGTATAAAATGAATGCATTTTGGAGATTTTATCAGGTGCAAAAGGACCAAGACAGCAGGAAGAGTGATCAAAAATTAGTGATAAATACTCAATTCACTCTCTTTAGGAAGAACTGATATGGAAAATATTGTCACTTTAATATAAAAATGATTTTCACAGTTCCTCTAAAAGTAGAAGATAGAAGTGAGATTTAGATTAAGATATAATAAAAAGAGTTATTATATATTGTGTATTTACTATGTGCCAGGTGATGTTCAGGAACTTTATATAGTATACCACAATTAATCCCACACAACACCATCAGATAGTATTGCTGCCATTTTACGGATGAGGGAATTGGGATTTTGATCTATTTTAACATCCTTTAAAGATGATATAATCATGTCATTTTTGAACCCAATATGTATGTTCTTTTCTCTACTTCAAGCTACTTCAAAATATGCACACCTACAAATGGAAGATAAGTTCAATCACCTCTCAGATATTTTTTCTTCATTTTCATGAATTAAAATCGGGATTAGATTAGGTTGAAATAAGAGAAAGGTATGCTACAATTATGAATAAAATTCTTAGTCGGCAAGTATAGGAAGTTTATTTTAGAATATGAAACAAATAGTGCATGCATTATATGCAAACTGTCCTGAAGCATTTTCATGAGGGCAGTTTGATTGGCGCTACTACTGCTATTCCTACTAGTACCACCTCAATAACCACTTCCACCACCACCGCTAAAATATATCTTTTATTATATACTTGCTGTGTGCAAGGCTTTGTGCTAAGTGCTTTATGTACCTTATCATGACACTTTTTAAAACTCAAGTAGTTAATATTATTACCACCATTTTATAGGGAAAGATACTGAGACTCATAGAGTTTATTAAACTTCTCAGAATACATAGATCGTAAGAGGCAATCCTAAAATTGGGAGTCAATTTAATCTTCCTACAAATTCCATGCTATTCCTCTCTGCTTTCTGCCTATTTATATGTTATTACAGAGCTTGAAATGCATTTTATATATAATTTTATATACATATTGTATACATTTTTTCTGATTATTCCTTACCATAAGATGATGAAATGGAAAAGTCAGAGGTTAACCTTATTTATTTATTTATTTTTTAGAGATGAGAAAGCTGAGGTTTTATTTTCAATGCAGGTAATACAGTAAGAGGTGTGTTTAAGAATATAATTCTAAGCATAGGTAGAGCTAAGTCTAAATCTTGAAAAGGCTTTTCCAGCCCACTCAAAATGCTTATAAATCTGCCCTCCCTTTTCTCTAGCTGCTTCCAAACTCAACAGTCTATGCTATTGAAATGTCTATTAGGCTTCATCTATTTATTCTGCATTTTTTTCATTTCCTGTTCTGACCTATCTGGTCCTGTCCTGCCTGTCTTGCCTCATCTTTTTTTTTTTTTTTTCTCACAACTTTCATTGGCTTTCCATGTTGCTAAGGAAAAGCATCCAAACTTATAACTTTGGATGTCAAAGTTCTGCTCAAGCTGGTCCCTGCCTAATGCTTATACCTTATTCTGTTGCACTCCCTCCCTCATCCAGTGTTCTCCAGCCATGTCCATCTTTTTATTGTTCTTACAGTTTGCTAGGTTCAGTCTCAAATGGGGCCTTGTATATTAGATATTCTTTCTGCCTAGAATGTCATCCCCCTAAATGTTGCCATGGCTAGCTCATTTCATTTAGATTCTGACCTAGCCTATATTTCATTTACTTGTAGAAGGCTGTCCTCCAGATACTCTTATCACATCATCTTTTTTAAAAAAATTGATGCATAGTAATTGTACATGTTTATTGGGTCCATGTGATATTTTAATAAATGCATACAATGTGTAATTATCAAATTGGGATATTTAATATATCAATTACCTCAAACATTTATCATTTATTTATAACGGGAACATTTCAAATCTTTTCAACTATTTTGAAATATACAATAGATTGTTGTTAACTCTAGTCACTCTGTTTTGCTATGGAACACTAGAACTTATTTCTTCTAACTAACTGTGTATTGGTACCCATTAATCAACCTCTCTTCATCTCCCTACCACCATATCCAGTCTCTAGTACTTATCATTTTACTCTTCTACCTCTTTATTTTTTTGGCATAACACTTGTTGTAGCTCAAGTTGCTATAACAAAGTGACATGGACTGGGTGGATGGTGGATGGCTTATTTTAAAAAAAGTATTTTTGACAGTTCTGGAGATTGAAATTCCCAGATCACGGTGCCAGCATGGTCAGGTTCAGGAGAGGGCCCTTACCTGGGCTGCAAACTACTAACTTCTTCATATAGTGGAGAGCAGAGGGCCAGAGAGCTCTCTGGGCTTCCTTTTATAAGGGCACTAAACCCATTCATTAGGACTCTACCCTAGTGAACCAAAGGTAATTAGTTACCCATGAACTACATGAACTAATTACCCAAAGACCCGAATGATTATTACCATTACATTGTGGGGTAGGATTTCAACATATGCCATTTAGCATGAGGACACATTCAGTCAATAACAGTACTTATCATCACTAAGCATGATATGATTTCTTTTGGTCTTTTAGACCTTTGTTTATTCATTTTTCTTTCTCTACTAAACTAAAATGTAAGCATAATAATAGAAACCTTGTCTCTTTTATTTTCTGCTATAATTTCTATAGTAGAACAGTGCCTGATATGGAGGATATTTAATGATTTTTTTGAGATCTAATTTATATATCATAAACTTCACTGTCTTAGGTGTAAAGTCCAGTGGCTTTTAGAACATTCAAGCATTGTGCAAACATCACCACTAATTTCAAAACATTTTTATCATCCCCTAAAGAAATCTCATACTCATCAATAACCACTCTCTATTCTCTGCTGTTCCCGGTCCCACACAACAACTAATCTCTTTTGTCTATGGACTTGCCTATTCAGGACATTTCATGTAAAGGGAATCATGCAGTATATGGCTTTTTGTAAGTAGGTTTTTTTTACTTACTTTACTTATTTTCAGGGTCATCCATGTTGTAGCCTGCATTAATACTTCATATATATATATAGTTGGATAATATTTCATTGTATAGACATCCACATTTGTTTAATCTGTAGATTCATATACAATTTTTTGAAGATATGTTTCAATTTTCTTAAACATATGTGTGTATATATATCTTATACACATAATCTGGAAGGAATTTCATACAATATTTTTAATATTTTGTGCAAGAAAAAGTTTTGACTGCAAATTGTCACATGAGGTCAGGTGTAAAATTTTCTACTTATGTCATCATGTCAGCATTCAAAAATTTCAGATTGTGAGGCTTTTCAAATTTTGGATTTTCAGATTAGGGATGTTTAGCCTCTACTCAGTTATACTCAGGAAGAGCGAATGTTTCAGTTTAATTCAGAAAACTGAAAAAGACAGATTTCCCAGTTCAAAGCAGTCAGGCAGGAGGAATTCTCTCTTATTCACAGGAGGATCAACAATTTGTTCTGTTAAGGCCTTCAACTGAGTGACTGACAGCCACTCACATAAGGAAAGACAATCTGCCTTACTCAGTGTACTGATTCAAATGTTAATCTCATCAACCCTCCCCCCAACAGACCCACCCAGAATAATGTTTTATCAAACATCTGGACATCCCATTGCCCAGTCAAGTTGACACATTACAACTAATCCTCATAGTTTACCCAATATTCCATGCTAAAACATGTTATTATAAATATATGTTGGTAAAATAATAAAACTCCAGGAATGCAAGAACAGAAAAGATTTCACCAATTGCCTTTCCTGAGTTAGTTATGTAAAGCATTACTTCGATAAAGTGAGACATAAATAAAAATTAAAAATCAACTTGTAAGGAAACTTTGTATTCCAAATATGACTGTCCTCAGTGAAATCAGTAAAGCTTAAAGATAGCAGAATAATGAAAATTAATTTAAATCTCAAAAATTTGTAAAATATAAGACTTAAGCCAGCAAAGTGTCAAAGGAAGTAATTTGCATATAAACTCAAAATTACTAAAATAGATCAAAAAAGAAAAAGAAAGTACATCAATTAATATAACTACAAGATAGAGGAGAGGAAATGAACACTAAATTTCTTCTGTTAATTGGCTGAGTTTATATGTGAAACACTATGGTAAATAAAAAGTAGATAATATTCTATTGCCAAAAATTACATATTGAATCATTTTAAAATTTGATTACAGTAATATTAATACTAAGATAACTAATAGTGTAAATATTGAAATATAATACAATTTAAAGTGACTAAAGAAAAAAATGATTAGAAGGAAATAAATCTGAGTAAGACAAAGATGAATAAGAAAACATGGTAACAATAAGAAAAGATAAACTAAAAACTTAAAAATATATTGTCAACACAAAAGCCAAATATGATATTTGTAATGGTAACTGAAGTAGATTTAACAATGACGGTTTACAATCAATATATTACATATTAGAATTTTAAAAAAATTAGAACACTTTGCTCCACAGGTGCAAATTCTTCCACCACTTAAGAATACAGGGGCTGTGAAGAATTAAAAAATAAAAATAAAGCAGATTAATATTTTAACATAGAACAAATAGAATATTGTAGAAAAAGCATTAAAAGAGAAATATTTTTATACCTATTAACTAAAAATAAACAGAAATTTCATCAGCAGATATGGGAAACACCTGCTTTCATGATTGATAGAGTTAATTATAAACTTAGTAAATTATTTAAAAGCACAGTGAACCACATTAAATATGAATGGAAATTGGTAACTGATATAAATATGAGAGGATTTTTTCATTAATATATTAAGAATTCACATAAGTCAATGAGAAAAAGAAGATTATTTCAAAATAAGACATGGTTGAAGAATATAAACAATTATTTCTTAAAAATAATAATCACAAAACATGATTATAAAATAAAAATTCAACATCACTGGTGATCAAATAAAATAAAACGGTAAATGCCACTTATCTTTATGTAATCTATATGTGCTTGTAAGAAATCAAAAAAATGCATTATTCATAAGCTTGTACAGAGATACTTCTGTTTATTATAGGTGGGATATAATATATAAAAGTATATATATATATGCTTTTCTTGGAAGCCAAGGTGGAAATGTGTGTATCAGTCTGTTCCCACGCTGCCAATGAAGACATACCTGAGACTGGGTAATTTATAAAGGAAAGAGGTTTAATTGATTCATAGTTCTTATACAGCTGGGGAGGCCTCACACTCATGGCGATAGGCGAATGACGAGCAAAGTCACCTCTTACATGGTAGCAGGCAAGAGAGAAGACGTGCAGAACAGAAGGGGGAAAAGCGCCTTATAAAACCATCAGATCTTGTGAGAACTCATTATCACAAGAACATCATTAGGGTAACCACCTCCATGATTAAATTGCCTCCCACAGAGTCCCTCCCACCACATGTGGGGGTTATGGGAACTACAATTCAAGATGAGATTTGGGTGGGGACACTGCCAAACCATATTAATGTGTTATTGGTATTTCTCTCTTGACAGTTTATCTTAAAATGTTTATTAGTGTTTAAAAATTTTGTATAAAAATGTTCAATATTAAACTGTTTATATTATAAAAAACAAAAGATAATATAAATTTTTTGTTCTAAAAATCACACTACATGCAACTGTCTACAATGTAGCCATTAAAAGTATGTATTAATTGATTTAAATGTAAGTTATGTATTAAAATAAAAGTAGATTATATAATGAAAGATATAACAGGATCTCATTTATAGTGTATTTGAAATTTAAAGTATATCTCTTTTTATAAAGCATCTCTATCATTTATACCTATTTAAAAATCACCATTTGGCAACCTTCAGAGTAAAGATTAATGCAGAAATATATTTGTGAATGTGTACTAAAACTGGTGTGTAAAATATTTGATGAGGAATAAGTTATTACACAAAGGATTTCCCCATGAAATAGGTACTCAAAATGGAAAAAACAACAACAACCCAATTTTGCAATGATAAAGGCTACTAGAGAGCACCTTAATCAAGCTGTCAAAGTTAACATCAAGAATGATGGTAGAGAAGGGGGACAAGATAACCGACTAGACCCAGCCAGGAAGCGCTGCCTTCACCAAGAGAGAGCAAAATATCATGTAAACCAACATAATTTGAGCAGGTATTCAATTCAGAGGATGAAGAAGCAATGCAAACTCCGAGGCTGAAGAGGGAGAAAGCTAGAAATCCTGTGCTGGGGACTCAAATGCTAGGGCTAGTTCCCAGCCCCAGAGGGCTCCTGGGAAATGGGTGAGTGAAGGGACTGAGGGACAGCCCATTCTTGCCACAGACTGCTGGTTTCTTAATTACAGAGGATTCCATGTCCCCATTGGATATTTCAGCTTGCAGGGGATCTGCCCAAGAGTAGGAGGAGTCAGAGCTTCGGCCGGCATGGAGCCCAAGGGCTTTTGTTCATGGAACAGTTTCTGCGGAATGTGGCTATAGGTGCCCATCCCCCTAGCGGCCACCATCGTCCTCCAAGAAACTCTAGTAGCAGCTGACTGCGGGCCAGGAGAGAGCAAAGTCAGTTTCTACCTGAGGACAGGGGCACATCTGTTCTGCCGGCACTCCTGAATGCCAGTCCCTTCCAAGGTCCCTCCCTGGCCATACCGCAAGAGTGTGTGCACAGCGCACACTCCACAGCCCAGCCTGGGTGATTTGCTCCCAATATTCCCAGCAACGTGGGAGCCCTTTGGATTCCCAGAGCAGCTGGGCCAGTTTCACGTCCCAGGGCTGTTGCATACAGCTCGCAAGGGCTGAACCAAGGTCTGTGGCTGGCATCCAAGTGGGGGAGAAGGCCCCACTCTCAGAGCACTGTGAGGAGTGAGATGCATGGGTTCATGGGACGGTGCAGGACGGGAGCATACCTCCTTCCGCAGTGCCAGTCCAGAAAAGGTGTGGCCTATCTTCTTGGAGCGGCCTGTTTGGCCCAAAACACCAAAGGAAATGCAGGTGTGGCGCCAGTGACTGGGGCCGGAGGGGGGTCTCCAAAGGCCCAGAGTTGACCTGGTCAGAGGACATCTCTCCCTTCCCACTGCAGAGCAGGCCTGGGAATGCAGAGAAATACGAAAGAGCTGCACGGCCGAGTAACAGCCTACAGACCGTTAATTTTAAGCGCCATCTACTGGATTACATCTCAAACTACAATACCTAAAGTATTGAGTGACTGTGTAACACCCCTGTGAAACCAAGGGCAAAAATCCAACCACAAAGATCCTATACAGAGCTTTGGCCCTCTGAAAGCACCTGGATAAGAACCTGACTGACTGTACTCAACTAACCCCACAATTAAGGGAACACCAGCTCTCCCAGAAAGAGAATCAGCACAAGAATTCTGGCAATTCAAAAAGCCAAAGCATTCCTTTGTCTCTAAATGAGCCCACTAGCTTTCCAGCAATGATTCTTAACCAGACTGAAATGACAGAAATGACAGACATAGAGTTTAGAATCTGTACGGTAAGTAAGCTCATCGATATTCAGGAGTAACATAAAATGCAATCCAAAGAAGCCAGGAAACCCAGTATAATGATCTCCAGGAGCTGATGACAAAATAGGCATTTAAAGAAAGAACTGAAAAATTCACTACAAGAATTTCATAATATAATCACAAGTATTAATTGCAGGAAAAAAAAACTGAGGAAAGAATCTCAGAGATTGAAGAACTGTTCTTTAAATCAACTCAGTCAGATAAAAATAAAAAAGAAAGAATATTGAAAAATAAACAACATCTCTGAGAAATACGGGATTATGCAAAGAGATAAGACCTATGACTCACTGGCATTCCTGAGAGAGAAGGAGAGAGAGTAAGTGACTTGGAAACATATTGGAGGGGATAGTCCATGAACATTTCACTAATCTCAATAGAGAGGGTGACATACAAATTCAAGAATAAAGAGAACCGAGGCTAGATACTATAAAAGTCGACCATCTCCAAGGCACATAATCATAAGGTTCACAAAGGTCAATGTGAAAGAAACATTCTTAAAAGAAGATAGAAAGGTTAGGCCACATACAGTGGGAACCCTATCAGGATAGCAGCCAACATCTCAGCAGAAACCTTACAAGCTAGAAGAGATTGGGGTTTATTTCCAGCATCCTTGAAGAAAAGAAATTACAACCAAGAATTTCATATTCCATCAAACTAAGCCTCATAGGCAAAAGAGAAATGAAATTCTTCTCAAACAAACAAATGCTGAGGGAATCCATTACAACTAGAAAAGCCTTACAAGTGGTCCTTAAGGCAGTACTAAACATGGAATCAAAAGAATAACACCTGCTATCACAAAAACACACTTAAGCACATAGCCAAAAGGCACTGTGAAGCAAATACACAATCAGCTTTCCATAAGAACCAGCTAATAGCATAATGACAGGATCAAAGTCTCACATAGCAGTACTAAAACTGAATGTAAGTCGCCTAAATGCCCCCATTTAAAATATACAGAGTGGTAAGCTGTATTTTTAAAAAAGAGACAAGATCCAACCATTTGGTATTTTCAAAAGACCCACTTAATATGTAATAGCATCCACAAGTTCAAAGTAAAGGGATAGAGAAAGACTTACCTTGCAAATAGAAAAAGAAAAAGTGTTGGAGTTGCTATTCTTATATCAGATAAAACAGACTTTAAACCAATAACAATTAAGAAGGAAGAAGAAGGGCTACGTAATGATAAAAGGTACAATTCAACAAGAAGACGTAACTATCCTAAATAGATATGCATCCAGCATTGAAGCACCAAGATTTATAAAACAAGTTTTTCTTGAAATACAAAAGATGTAGATAACTAAACAATAATAGAGGAAGATTTCAAAGCCTCACTATCAGCTTTAGACACATCACTGAGGCAGAAAACTAGCAAAGACATTTTGGACTTGAACTCAACACTTGATTAATTGGACCTAATAAATATCTACAGATTATCCCACCCAACAAACACATAATATGCATTCTTCTCATCTGCACACAAAACGTACTCTAAGATTGACCACATGCTCAGTTATAAACCAAGTCTCAAAAAATTAAAAAGAAATAAAATTACACTAAGCACAGTCTTGCACCATAGTGAAATATAAATAAAAATCAATATCAAGCATATCTCTCACAACAAGACAAACACATGAAAATTAAACAACTTGCTCAGAATAACTCCTAGGTGAACATCAAAATTAAGACAGAAATGTAAATATTATTTGAAATTAATTAAAACAGGGACATTACTTAGCAAACTCTCTGGTATGAAGCTAAAACAATGTTAAGAGGAAAGTTTACAGTACTAAAGGCCTTCATCAAGAAGTTAAAAAGATCTCAAATTAACAATCTAACTCTACACATAGAGGAACTAGAATGAAAGAGAGCAAACTAATCCTAAAACTAGCAGAAGAAAAGAAATAACTAAAATTAGAGAAGCACTGAATAAAACTGAGTTGCAAAAATCAATAAAAATAATCAATTAAACCAAGAGTTGGGTCTTGGAAGAACAGACAAAATTGAGAGACTTCTACCTTAATTAACACAGAAAAAAATAGGAGATCAAAATAAATACAATATGAAATGACTGATGATGATATAACTGATCTCAAAGAAATACAGAAGGTCACAGAGATTATTATGGACAACTCTATGCACACAAATTAGAAAATCTGGAAGAAAAGGATATATTCCTAGAAATGCAAAACCTCCCAAGATTGTACGAAGAGGAAAATGAGAACCTGAACAGACCAATAACAAGTTACAAAATTGAATCAGGATTAAGAAAAAACATACCAACCAACCAAAAAAAAAAAAAAAGAGTCCTCAGTCTGGTAGATTCACTGTCAAATTCTGTTAGAAGGAAGAACTGACACCAGTTTTACTGAATGTATTCCAAAAATTGAAGAGGGACTCTTCTACTCATTCAATGAAACCAGCATCAGCCTGATACCAAAATATGGTAGAGACACAATGGAAAAAGTAACAAAAACTTCAGGCCAATATCCCTGATGAATATAGGTACAAAAATCTTCAACAAAACATTATCAAACTAAATCCAGCAGCACATAAAAAACGTTAATGCACCACAATCAAGTAAGCATTATTCCTGGTATGCAATGATGGTTCAACGTTCACAAATCAATAAATGTGATTCACCACGTAAACAGAATGAAAAGCAAAAACCGTATAATCATCTTAATAGGTGTGGAAAAAAGCATTTGATAAATCCAACATTGCTTTATGACAAAAAACCCTCAACAAGCTAGAGACTGAAGTTTGATTGATACCTCAAATAATAAGAGCCATTTATAAAAAACCCATAGTCAACATCATACTAAATGTGCAAAAGCTAGATGCACTCCCCTTAGGAACTGGAACAAGGAGTCCCACTCTCCCCACTCTTAAGCAACATAGCACTGGAAGTCCTATCCGAAGCAATCAAGCAAGAGAAAAAAAAAAGGTATTGAAATAGGAAAATAGATAAAACTATCTCTTTTCCCTGATGATATGATTCTATATCTAGAAAACCCTTAGAGATGCCACAAAAAGTTATTGTAACTGATAAACAACTTGATTAAAGTTTCAAGATACAAAACAAGTGTACAAAAAATAGTAACATTTCTATACACCAGAAATTTTCAAGCTAAAAATTCACAGCTTGAAAAATTTTCATATAGGCATTGAAAACCAAATGCACATGTTCTCACTTGCTAGTGGGAATAAAATATTGCGGGCACATGGGCACAAAGATAGAAACAAAATACGGCAAACTACTAGTGATAGAAGAGAGGGAGGAATGTATGGTTTGAAAAACTACCTATTCTGTCATACACTCAAACCTGGATGATAGAATCTGTACCCCAAACCTCAAGAACATAATACCATTTACAATAGCAAAACAAAAAAACAAAAGAAAACAAACAAACAAACAAAAAAGTGTAGTCATAAATCTAACCAAGGAGGTGAATGATCTCTACAAGGAGAACAACAAAACACTTCTGCCAGAAACCATGGAATATGCAAATAAATGGAAAAACAATCCACTTTTGTGGACTGGAAGAATTAATATTGTTAAAATGGCCATACTTCCCAAAGCAATTTACAGATGCAATGCTATTCCTATAAATATGCCAATGTCATTTTTCACAGAATTAGAAAAACTTATTCCAAAATTCATATGGAACAAAAAAAAGAGCACGAAGAGCAAAAGCAATCCTAACCAAAAAGAACAAAGCCAGGGTCATCACGCTACTCATCTTTAAACTATATTACAAGGCTGTAGTAACCAAAGCAGCATGGTACTGGTACCAAACCAAACACAGACAAATGGAATGGAATAGAGAACCTAGAAATAAAGCCACACACCCACAACCACATTATCTTTAACAAAGCTGACAAAAGTAAGAAATGGGGGGAAAGACTCCTTATTCAATAAATGGTTCAGGAATAACTGGCTAGCCATATACAGAAGAATTAAACTGGTTCCCTGCCTCTCACCATATATAAATATTAACTTAAAATAGAGTAAATATTTAAGTGTAACACCTGAAACTATTAAAAGAAAAAACCTACAAAATACCCTTCTGGACATCAGGCTTGGCAAATAATTTTTGGTTAATTCCTGCAATTGCAACAAAAACAGTAATTGGCAAGTGGGATCTAATTAAACTAAATTTCTTCCACACAGCAAAAGAAACTATCAACAGAGTAAACAGACAACTTACAGAATGAGAGAAAATGTGTTTAAACTATGCATGTGACAAAGGATTAATATCCAGAATCTATAAGAAATATAAACAAGCAAAAAACAAATAACCCCTTAGAAAAGTGGGCAAAGGACATCAACAGATGCTTCTCAAAAGAAGACATACAAGTAGCCAACAAATATATGGAAAAATGCTCAATATCACTAATCATCAGAAAAATGAAAATCAAAACCATAATGAGATACCATCTCACACCTGTAAGAACCTGTAAGAATGGGTATTATTAAAATATAATAATAGATGTAGGCAAGCACTGGAGAAAAGAGAAAACTTTTACACATGGTTGGTGGTAATGAATTATTTTAGTCCCTGTAGAAAGTGGTTTGGAGATATTTCAAAGAGCTTAAAAAAGAGAAGCCATTCAACCTAGCATTTTCATTACTAAATATATACCCAAAGGAAAATCAATTAATTTACCAAAAAGACATATGCACATGTATGTTCATCACAGTACTGTTCACAATAGCAAAGACATGGAATCCTCAGCAAATTCACATAGACACTGAAAACCAAATGTCCCATGTTCTCAATTGTTAGTGGGAATAAAACATTGCGGAAACATGGACATAAGGATGGAAAAAATAGATACTGCAAACTTCTAATGAAGGGAGAGAGGGAGGAATATGTGGGTTGAAAAACTACCTATTCTGTCATGCACTCAAACCTGGATGATAGACTCTGTACCACAAAGCTCAGCAACACATCTATGTATCAAACCTGCAAATGTTCTCCATCCCTTGTATCTAAAGTAAACACTAAAATTATTTAAAAAAAAGAAAGAAAGAAAGAAAAAGAAAAAGTACTTAGCTCCTGAATGGTTTTCAGTGATTTAGCAACTGTTGTAAACACTCACAAGCTGACTCAGGGACAGGCAGACTGAATGTCTCAGTACACTTATTGTTGTTATAACAGAATCCCTGAGACTAGGTACTTTATTAAAAAATTAAATTATTTAGCTTTCTGTTCTGCAGGCCGGGAAGTTCAAGATGGATTGGCTGCATCTGACAGCTTTTGGTGAGGGTTTTGTGCTGCCTTAAACCATGGCACAGAAACAGAAGGGAATCTCTTTTTGCAGGAAAAAAAAAAAATCAAACCGGAGAGACAGCCTAGATTTTATAACTGGCTCTTGTGGCAACAAATTCAGGCCCATGAAAGTAAGAATTGATTTCTGTGAGAAGGGCATTCATTAATCCCTCTTGCCAACCTAACACCACTCAAAGGCACAAACTCCCAATACCATCACGCTGGGGACCAATCGTACACATAAATTTTGGTAGCATAAACCATATTTAAACCATAGCACTTGTGATGAAATAAATTGAACAAAGCAAAAGTTAACAATAAAATAATTACTAAAAGTTTAAAAAAAGAGTGGTGGTAGAAATCCAATAGAATGCAATGAAAGGAACACAGCATTGTTTCTACAATATTCCTACCAAATTTTCATAATCTGATTCTGAACATAAAGAATGTTAGGTAAATCAAAATTGAAAGAAATTCTACAGAATATTTGGAGGTAAATAAAATATTTCAGAAACATACAGATTTAAGGATACGGAAGATACAAAAAACAAAATATTCACATAATACTGGACTGGATCATTTGACATAAAATAAATTTTTGAAATTTGAACATTATTTCTGTCATCTAACTCAATCAATTTGTAGTAAAGATTTTACTGTTTTTCTGTAGAAGGGAAGTACCTTCAGAAAATACAAAGACTATTCTAAATTTAGTATATAAAGATTTATATTTTTATCTTAATATTTAAAATATAACTGTTCTTAGAACCAGATAAAAATTAAAGTCAATGTTTAAATGAATCAGGGATTTCTATAGAGATATATTACAAATTTTCATTGAGCTTATCTTTAAATTCTTTCATGTTCTATTGATTTCAAAAGGAAATACAATACAAAGGAGAAATGTAGTCAAAATCATGCTTAATATAATTTGTACTTTAAAAATATTTCGCTGTATCATAAAATTGAAAAACTCATTCAACTGTCAATGTATTTTTAAATTTGTTTCATAGGATTGTTTCATTTTATAAAGAAATTTAGAAACGTTTGGAAACTTGATTTAGTAACTTGGATATTTTTCTCATTGTCCTTAGTTAAGCTGTCCATTCAATTAAGTATCTACTAGAAAAGTTGTATTGTTTTATACACACATAGGATGAATAAGACAGGCATAATATTTTACTTGTATCTTTTTTTGCAGTTCATTCAATCTGCTTTCACGGTCCTTAGAATTGTTGTCCTGCTTTCTGTTCCCAAAGGATAATTACTTTTTCCTCAGCGAATACTCCTAAACTACTTTTGAGGCTAACCAAAACCTGTAACAGATTTCAAATCTTACAATATATGATTATGAACAACTGTGTTTTATGTACTTAAGAGTATTTTAATTATTAGAAAGTGGTATGTGATACAGCATGGCTTTATCAATATGTGATTCCAGTAATAATTACTTAAAAATATTGAATAATTGACTTTCTTTTCTCCTTATCTTAAAAGTGACTTATATCTCATTTCTTTAACATATGACTGAGTATTCTTCTTCAAAAGATATTTGTCACTTTACACACAAACACAACAGAAAATCAATGAGAACAACGTAAGTATGATGTGATTCATAAATGTAATTTGGTCTTTTTAAGAATACAATCTACAAAGACATGTTTTGCAGTTATCTGGAGTTGATCATATTCTGTGATACTTAACAGAGATTGAGTAAAAAGTTATTTTTTTTTTCAGAGGTTGTATTAGGTTGGATGTGATATATCCCTTAATTTCTCCAAATCTGTTTTCTTATTTGTAGACCTAAAGAAAAATAATACCTGTCCCATTTACCTTGGCTGCTTAGTGTGTGGCTCAAGTGAAAATGAATGTGAAATCACATTAAGTATCTTGCAAATATACAATGCTTTTAGGTATCACTATTTTTTATTTTATTTTATTATGAATTTTTGAGATTGAGTCTCACTCTGCCCAGGATGGAGTGCAGTGGCACGATCTCGGCTCACTGCAACTTCGGCCTCCCAGGTTCAAGTGATTCTTCTGCCTCAGCCTCCCAAGTAGCTGGGATTACAGGTGCGTGCCATCACACCCAGCTAACTTATTTCTAGAAATGGGGTTTCACCATATGGGCCGGGCTGGTCTCAAACTGCTGACCTTGTGATCCACCTGCCTCAGCCTCCCAAAGTGCTGGGATTACAGGTGTGAGCCACTGCACTCAGCCTAGGTATCATTATATTTCTAATTTTAGCTGAAATCTCGGAAATACTTTTTTGTATAGACAGGTACATTAGTTTGTAACATTGTATTAGTCTGTTCATACAGTGCTATAAAGAACTACCTGAGACTGGGTTATAAGAGGATAAGAGGATAAGAGGTTTAATTGATTCATGGTTCCACAGGCTGTACAAGAAGCATGGCTAGGAGGCCTCAGGAAACTTACAGTTATGGCAAAAGGCAAAGGGGAAGCTAGCATGTCTCACCATAGTGGAGGAGAGAGAGAGAGAAGGTGAAAGTATCACATGTTTTCAAACAACCAGATCTCCTGGGAACTCACTCACTATCTTCAGAACAGGAAAGGGGAAGTCTTCCCCCATGATTTAATAACCTCCCACCAGACCCCTCCCCCAACACGTGTGGATTGCAATTCAAGATGAGACTTGGGTGGGGACACAGAGCCAAACCATATCATTCTGGCTTTGGCCACTCCCACACTTCATGTCCTCACATTTCAAAACACAATCATAACCTCCAACAGTCCTCCAAAGTCTTAACTCATTCCAGCATTAACCCAAGTTCAAGTTTAAAGCCTCATCTGAGACGATGTAAATTCCTTTGGCTTATGAGCTGATAAAGTCAAAAGGAAGTTAGTTACTTCCAAGATACAATAGGGGTACAGGCATTGGATAAATGCTTCTATTCTGTATTAGTCAGGGTTCTCTAGAGGGACAGGACTAATAGGATAGATTTACATATAAAAGAAAGTTTATTAAGGAGTATTGACTCACACAATCACAAGGTGAAGTCCAACAACAGGCCATTTGCAAGCTGAGGAGGAAGAAAGCTAGTCTGAATCCTAAAACCTCAAAAGTAGGGAAGGGACTTCTGCCTAAACATCCAGGCATTTCCATACATCCTCTGATTTAGGTAAAAGTTCCCAAAGTCTTGCCTTCTGCACACCTGCAGGCCCAACATCACATAGAAGTCACCAAGTCTTGAGGCTTGCACCCTCTGAAACTATAGCGTGAGTTGTACATTGGCACCTTTTAGACAAGTCTGGTGCTGGAGCAGCTTGGGGGCAGGGCATCATGTCCTGAGGCTGCATAGAGCAGAGGGACACTGGGCAAGGCCTACATAACCACACTTTTCTCCTAAGACTCCAGGCCTGTCATGTGAGGGGCTCTGGCAAAGGTCTCTGACATGCCTTGGAGACATTTTCCCCATTGTCTTGGCTATTAATATTCAGCCCCTCTTTACTAATGCAAATTTCTGCAGCCTTCTTGAATTTCTCCCCAGAATATTTTTTTTTCTTTTCTACCACATGGTCAGGCTACACATTTTTCAAACTTTTGTGCTCTGCTTCCCTTTTAAACATAAGTTCTAATTTCAGACCATCTCTTTGTGAACACATATGACTGCATGCTGTTAAGAGCACTCAGGTCACATTTTGAATGCTTTGCTGCTTAGAAATTTTTTTCACCAGATAACCTAAATAATCTCTCTGAGGTTCAAAGTTTCACATATTCCTAGAGCAGTGGCACAATGCTAACAGTCTCTTTGGTTAAAGCATAACAAGAGTGACCTTTGCTTAAGTTTCCAATAAGTTACTCATCTCCATTTGAGACCACCTCAGTGTGGACTTCATTGTCCATATCACTATCAGCACTTTGATCAAAATCATTCAACAAGTCTCTAAGAAGGTCCAAACTTTCCCTCATCTTTCTCTCTTCTTCTGAACTCTCCAAACTGTTCCAACCTCTGCCTGTAACCCAGTTCTAAAGTTGCTTCCACATTTTCAGTTATCTGTATAATAGGGCCACACTCTCCTGGTATCAATTTTCAGTATTAGTTTGTTCTCACACTGCTGTAAGGAACTACCTGAGACTGGGCAATTTATGAAGAAAAGAGGTTTAATTGATGCACAGTTCCACGGGTTGTACAGGAAGCATGGCTAGGTGGTCTTAGGAAACTTACAATCAGGGCAGAAGGTGAAGTGGAAGCAAGCATAACTCACCATGGTGGAGCCAGAGAAAGAGAGAGAAGGCCTAAGTGCCACACACTTTCAAACAACCAGATTTCATGAGAACTCACCATCACAAGAACAGCAAGGGTTAAGTCTGCCTCAATGATTCAGTCACCTCCCATCAAGCCCCTCCCCTGTAAAATGGGGATTACAATTTGAGATGAGATTTGGGCAGGGACACACAGCCAAACCATGTCAAATATTTTTCTTGCAAATGAAATGATTACAATCCATAACACATAGCTAGGGGAAATAATATTGTGGACTTTTGTGATAAGAAAATCCTCAAATTTTTCATTTTGTTCCATCTTTAATTATGTTTAATGAAAGTAAACTTATATCCCAATATTTGAGTTATATTTACCTGGTGATATTCTATTGTTCCAAGATACAAATTAGAATAGAGAACAGATGGAATCTGTTATTTTATATAAATCAAAAGCCACTCATTATGTAAAATATTAAATGAATTAAAAGGAAAGATAATTTCAGCTAGATATTTGAGCATTTATGCTCTATTTAAAACGTTGTTAAGAGTTTAGTTCATTAACATTTTGCAGAGCTTTTAATTTTTGTTGTTGTTGTTATTTTAGCTGTGAGAATTTATTTCATTCTTGTAAGGCCCTATGAGCTGGCCCCACCACAGTCAAGCCATTGTGACAATCCCCTGCCCTTGTGATAATGTACTTTGTGATATTCCCCATCCTTGTGAATGTACTTTGTGATATTCCCCACCCTTTTGAATGTACTTCCTAACATTCCTCCCCCTGCTTGTGACAGTACATCCTTCCTGCCCTTGTGAATGTACTTCGTAACATTCCTCCCCATCCTTGTGACAATACACCCTCCCCACCCTTGAGAATGTACTTTGTAACATCTATTCCCTGCATGCAAAACATTGCTCCTGCCTCCACTGCCTATCCCAAACCTGAAAGAACCAATGATAATCTCACCTCCCTTCGCTGACTCCTTTTTCAGACTCAGCCCGCTTGCACCCAAGTGAATAAACAGCCTCGTTGCTCACACTAAGCCTTTTCAGGTGGTCCCTTATATGAACACATGTAACAATTTTGTAACACATGGCCACATTATCAGATGCTTTTTGTAGTTATATTACTTGTGTATCAACTATTTATAAATAACAATTTGAGAAGTCCTTGCATTACCATTAGAACCCTAACACCTTCAGAGACAATTGTGCATCAAAATAATATTTTTAATTGGTTCCTTTACATAATTAACAAGTAAAAGCTTATCAATCAGGTGCTCTTACATGGAAAAAAGTATAATTTACCATGCAAAGAAGCTTTGGAATAATTTTAATAAGTTCTTAAGAATTAATGGCAAGAGATAAGAGCTGTGATTCAACATTTTTTTTTCATAAATTCTCAAGTAATTTAGACCATGAAGTCCCTACCTTGCAAATAGATCAAAATATGATGCAAACATTTTCATCTTAGGCTTATCAAACTGTTAATTTAGCATTGAGAGGGTTTATGCATTAGACTTAAAAAATTTGTAATCATAAATAGATTTAACTGTTTGAACTTGAAATTTATAACATGTCAGTGTATTACTGTAGGGATTAGCTAAATTAATTTTCAGTTCGTAACATAGTTGATGTTAGAATAACATTACGTAGAATGTACTTTTTCTGCTCATGTAAACACTGACTTCTCTTAGTAAGTTTTTGGCATACACAGAAAGAAGCTGTACATTTATTTAGTTTACAGTCATATCTTCATTATTCAGAATTTCCTGTGCAGTTCATAAATTATCTAGGCCTCTTTTTAATCTGTCTTCTGCTTGCAATTTCCAACTCTTTGAAATGTTTGCTTGTTTGCTACCCCATGGAGACTATTCTCTACTTATCTCATAATTAATCTCTCCCTCCCTCTCTTCTTTTTTCTCTAGCAAACTCATCTTATAAAGGCATAAAAGAGTCTCCTTTAGCTCTGAGATGCAATAATACTTAAATGGTCTTAACACCAACATCACAACACTCACCAATTCTTATTAAACAGTTTGCCAGAGGAAAACAATAAAAGAACAAATACAGACTATTTTGGGTTGAAGTTTAATGCTCCTCTTCAATCTCTCCCTCTACAGTCATGTAATAATTATGACTTCTTATTGAAGTCATTTAGGGACCCATCAGACTATTTTTGAATTTCAGCTACTTAGTTTTTTTTTTTCATTGCTTTGTAAATGTATTCTCCAATTGCATCGTAGTCTTATATGATCATGTGTTGGACAGGGAGCTCTCACTTCTCATTTTAAGAAAACCCCCAAATCCTATTAAGCCACATGACTTCAACACTCTAAATAATTCAAGACAGTTCAAAATATTTATTTTTTCTAGGATCTCAACTCTGTTATCAATAATAGGTATATTCTTTTAAAATCCATATGGCCATTTGAACACCATCTGTGGCATTTCAGACTCAGTGTATTGCTTCCCAGAGATACTATTATCTTTTATTTGGTAAATAAATCATTAAACAAGTCACCATGAAGAGATCACCAATTAATCTTTCACTTTCCTGTAAGACTAATTTTTAGAGAAAAATTACAGCTCTTATTTCATCATTTCCTAATACAAAATCCTGTATAGGTTATATAAATGTGAAGCTCAGAAGAAACGTTGGAACTAAAGCTGTAAATGTGCAAGTTAACAACATGTCACTTACACTCATAAGACTTGATGAGATCACCAAATTAGTAACTGTAGAGAAAGAAAAAAAAATATATCATGCTTAGGTTCTTGGACTAGACACTAGTAAAAGGTTGAGGGGGAAGAGAGGTAAACAGCAAAGGAGACAGATTGAGTGATATGATGATAAGAGGAAAAATAAAAGTTTGAAGTAGAGAAAGATGAAGACTGAGAATTGACAAATGGATCTAATAATATCATGGTTATTGGTGGCCTTGATAGGAAGAATGTTGATAGACTCTTGACTGGAAGAGCCTGAATAGTTTCTTTGTCAGGGTGAGGGAAGAGGAAACCAAATTTAGACATCTCTTAAAAGGTAGTTTTACTTCAAAAATAAAGAAAAATGGGTGATAGTGAATGAGGTAACTGGCATCATCAATAGATTTTGTTAAAATAAAGATGAGAAAAATAACATATTTTACAGTAATAGAAAATTTCCAATAAATTTATTTTATATATGTTTAGGTATCATAATCTTGCTGAACGTTCCTATTAGTCTGAATATGTGTTTCATAGTTCTGTTTGTGTTTTTTTGTTTAAGCTTATATTTTCTTCAAAGAGTGTGATACTTATTACTCCCATTCTAATTCCTAAACATCCTTTTCGTCTTTCTTTTATCTAAATACTAGTCAAACTTTCTACTAATATGTTAAGCATTATTGATATTAAATTGAAATAATCGTATTTACTATAGGTGTTTTTTATATATAGCTTTAAAGCTTTTTAGGGGAAAGTCTTTTATTCCAAGTTTTCTGTGACAAGTTTGTCTTTCTTGTTGGAGAAAGATGTCCTAGACCAGAGACACGAGTACCACAAAATAGAGACTTCTGAATTGGAAGTAAATACTAATAGGGAAATAACACTGCAGTATAGAAATAGGGAGTAGAGTAGTCTTGTACTACTTAACTGTGGATTTAATCTGTGCCTTATTTTCCCATTGTGTTTCAGGAATATATCTAATACATAGTTCAGGTTGCAAATGTCAGGACTTGATTTTGGAATAACAGAAAATTCTAATGCTTATAATCTTCAGCTGACCCATTCTATTTTTTTTTTTCTGTTCACTGTTATCTGACCTTCTATAGGATACTTAGTTCCATAAGATATTGTCCTATTTTAAAATAAAACCCCCAAGAAGAAAAATGACAGTTTTTGATTCTTCATAGCTAACTGTGAAAAATTGTTTAAAACCCTTTCCTGTTTTTTGGTTCTCTATAAATTTTAGAATCTTTTATTTTTTTCTAATTCTGTGTAAAATGATGTTGGTAGTTTAATAGGAATAGCATTGTATCTGTAAATTGTGTGGGGCAGTATGGCCATTTTAACAATAATGATTCTTTCAAACCATAAGCATGGAATGCCTTACCATTTGTTTGTGTCATCTTAGATTTCTTTCAGCAGTCTTTTGTAGTTCTTTTTGAAGACATTATTCACCTCCTTGGTTAGATGTATTCCTTTGTATTGTCTTTTACTTTTGGCTATTGTTAATGTGATTGCATTCTTGATTTGGCCCTCAGCTTCGATGTTTTTGGTGTATAGAAAAGTTATTAATTTTTTATATTGATTTTGTATCCTGAAACTTTACTGCCTCCCCAACAGTCCTCCAAAGTCTCAACTCATTTCAGCATTAACCCAAAAGTCCACAGTCCAAAGTCTCATCCGAGACAAGGCAGGTCCCTTTCGCCTATGAGCCTGTAAAATCTAGCAAGTTACTTACTTCCTAGATACAATGGGAATACAGGCATTGGATAAATTCAGCCATTCCACATGGGAGAAACTGGCCAAAACAAAGGGGATACAGACCCCATGCAAGTCTGAAATCAGAGGGTACTCAAATCTTAAAGTTCCAAAATGATCTCCTTTGACTCCATGTCTCACATCCAGGTGATGCTGAAGAAAGAGGTATGGTCTTGGCAGCTCTGCCCCTTTAGCTTTGCAGGGTACATCCTCTGTCCACAATACCTTCATCTGCTGGCATTGAGTGTCTGTGGCTATCCCAGGTGCATGGGGCAAGTGGTCAGTGTATCTACCATTCTGGGGTCTGGAGGATGGTGGCCCTCTTCTCATAGCTCCACTAGGCAATGCTCCAGTAGGGACTCTGTGTGGGGGTTCTGGTCCCACATTTCCCTTCTGCATTGCCATAGCAGAGATTCTCCATGAGGGCTCTGCCCTTAAAGCAAACTTCTGCCTGAGCATACAGGTGTTTCCATAAATCCTGTGAAATCTCGGTGAAGATTCCCAAACCTCAATTATTGACTTCTGTGCACTAGCAGGCTCAACACCACATGGAAGCTCCCAAGGCATGAGGCTTACACCCTCTGAAGCCACAGCCAAAGCTCTGTGTTGGTCCCTTTCAGCCACAGCAAGAGCAGCTAGGATGCAGGGCATCAAGTCCCTAAGGTGCACACAGCATGGGGACCCTGCACCCTGCCCACCAGGCCTATAGGCTTGTGATTGGAGGGGCTCCCACAAAAGTCTCTGACATGCCCTGGAGACATTTTCCCCATGGTCTTGGGGATTAACATTAGGCTCCTTGTTACTTATGCAAATTTCTACAGCTAACTTGAATTTATCCTTAGAAAATGGGATTTTATTTTCTGTTGCATTGTCAGGCTGAACACTTTTCAAAATTGTATGCTCTGTTTTCCTTTGAAACTGAATGCCTTTAACAGCACCTAAGTCACCTCTTGAATGCTTTGCTGCTTAGAAATCTCCTCCACCAGATACCACAAATTATCTCTCTCCAGATCAATGTTCCACACATCTCTAGAGTAGGGGCAAAATGCAGCCAGTCTCTTTGCTAAAACGTAACAAGAGTCACCTTTTCTCCAGTTTGTAACAAGTTCTTCATCTCCATCAGAGACCACCTCAGCCTGGATCTTATTGTTCTTATCAATATCAGCATTTTTGTCAAAGCCACTCAACGAGTCTCTAGGAAGTTCCAAACATTTTCACATTTTCCTGTCTTCTTCTGAGTCCTCCAAAATATTCCAACCTCTGCCTTTTACCCAGTTCCAAATTCGCTTCCACATTTTCAGGTATCTTTTCAGAAACACCCACTCATGGTACCAATTTACTGTATTAGTCTGTTCTTATGCTGCTGATAAAGACATACCCAAGACTAGGAAATTTACAAAAGAAAGAGGCTTGATGGACTTACAATTCCACATGGCTGGTAAAGCTTCACAATCATGGTGGAAGGCAAGGAGGAGTAAGTCACATCTTACATAGATGGCAGCAGGCAAAGAGAGAGCGTGTGCAGAGAAACTCTCATTTTTAAAACCATCAGATCTCATGACAGCCATTCACTATCACGAGAACAGCATGGAAAAGACCCACCCCCATGATGCAATCATCTCCCACTAGGTCCCTCCCACAACATGTGGGAATTATGGGAGCTACAAGTTAACATTTGGATGGGGACACAGAGCCAAACTATATCACCACACATCTGAAATTTTGAAGAGTGAATAATTCTGAGGACAAAACCAAACCTTGACTGATCTTTCCCAATCAATCCTATAAGATTAGCAAGCTGCTTATTCCCTCACAACACCTATTGTTATGAAATTAATGTTTGTGTTTTTTCCCAAATGTATGTGTTGAAGCTCTAGCTCCTAATTCGATGGTGTTAAGAGGTGAGGTCTTCGGAAGGTAATTAGGGTTAGATGGATCATGTGGATAGAGACTCCATGATGAAACTAGTGTCTTTTTTAAAAAGAGAAAGAGACCTCAACTTGATCTCATTCTACCATGAGAAGATACAGTGAGAAGGTGATTATCTGCAAGCCAGAGAGATAACTTGGAAGCCAGTGGTTTCACAGAGAAGCTAACCTACTGGCACCTTAAACTTGGACTTGCTAGCCTCAAGAACTGTGAGAACTAAGAACTGTGAGAAATAAACATCTGTTGCTTAAGCCACGGAATCTGTATAGCTTTTTCACTGTTGCTGTTTGGCAATTGGGAGGGAGTGTTACAGCTATTTTACTCCCACTGCCAGCAAGCATTTGGTTCCTGTCCAACGACCAAGAAGAATAAGGAAAGTGGACATTAGAGAGTGTAAGGCAGAGTTGGATTTATTAAGCAACAGAAAAGCCCCAGCAAGGAAAGGGGACCCGAAAGAGGGTCACCAGCTGTAGTGATAAATTCAGGGATTTTTATGGATTGGGAACGGAAAGGAGTGTGCTGACTGGGCTGTGGGCATCTTGGAGGAAGCAGCATTGAGAAAGAGACATGATAGTGAAAAGAACCAATTGGAGGCAGAGGTGAAGGCTCTACCAGCAACTAATCAGGGACTGGAGTGACGTTACACTTTATGCAAATGAAAATGCAGCCTACAGTCAATCACAGAAACATAGGTAAATGTAAAATAGGTAAAAGTTAAGGACTAATTGGGAAAAAATGTGTGAAACAAGAAGAAGGTGCACCAAGGAGAGAGAAATTTGTCCAAAAAAAAAAAAAAGTGGAATTTGTTCATCTGGGTTGACAGAATAGGTATTTTCATTTAAGGATGTGCACTTTTCCTTATCTGGGGCCCACAGCTTAATTTTTGGGCTGTTCTTTGTTTGAAGGTGTTTTACCAATGACCCACCTACCTGACTGCTTGACTCGTTTCTTCCTTCCTCCTTTCTCAAACCTATGGTGTACTGTTATAGCAGCCCAAATTGCTAAGATACTTATTTTGCACTGATCTTACATTCAAAAAAAATTTTTTTAATAAAGACTAAAATTTGTTTTGCATTTGGTTTTTCTGCTTCCACAGATTTAGTGTCTAGGGAAATTTTGACAAGGGTAGGACATGCTGAAGATCATTTGTTATCTCCCTTATTATGGGCCCCTGTTACAGGAAATCTGCATGAGTTATTCCCTTGCTTGGCATTCTGCCCTTTTGTGTTTTGAGTTCTATCAAGCCTTTGTATAATCATAAGCATTATTATAATCATCTTTGGATGAGAACCATCTATTTGCTTTTCACTCCTAGTGTCTTTTAAGATGAGGCAAGTGTACAAGAATTTGTTTAATTTTTAGGGAGATCCCACTTTTTTTTTTTTTTTTTACTTCTCACCACCGGAAGGCAATAGGCAATATCAGTTGAAAAGTTCACACTAAGCTGGTGCCCTATTTGTATAGATGCCTCTTCTGTCAATCATTTGAGTACTTTGAGGCATTTCCTTGGAAACATTTATAATTAGAGTGGCAATTAATTTAAGGCACTTTTGATGCAAATAAATTTGGTCTTTTAAGAGGTGTCTTTGGACAAAAATGGTTGAACACTTCATGAGAAGAATCTATCTAAAAGACAAGTCACTTGAGACACATCACTTAATTTAAATAAACTCTAATAACTCCCTTCTTGTGGTGGGTGAGTGTGTGTTTGCAGGTTTTGTTTTGTTTTGTTTTGTTTTGTTTTTTCTCGAGACAGTCTTGCTCTGTTGCTCAGGCTGGAGTGCAGTGGCGCAATCTCGGCTCACTGCAACCTCTGCCTCCCAGGTTGAAGCAATTCTCCTGTTTGCAGGTTTTAAAATGGGTTTTCTGCATCTAATCATTCTCTCTTTCTACTAGAGGGAAGATCATTGGATTCTACAATAATCATTTTACTTTTGTCTAAGCCAACCTGCTCTTAATTTTGTGTGTGCGCATGTTTATGTGTATGTGTACGTGTGTGTACTTTTTTTCATTTCTTTTCTACTTGGGTATTATGAATGCTAATTGGTCAAATTCTGTTTCTGTTATTATGGATGCGATCTAAAAATATCTAGTTCAGATGAATTTTAGGAGTTTCTTAAATAATTAAATCTAAATTATTATGCAGCATTCCTTTTGCTTAAAACAAGTAGTCTATGTTTAAAAGAAAAACCCCAAACTTCAGCTCTGGGTGTAAATGAGTAATTCAGTTGTTACAAGGTGAGAAAAAAAAGAGCTGTGATCCTAAACAAGAAGAGTACATGTAAATATTATCTGGAGTCTTTATATTTTAGTTTATTTATATCTATAAATTTTATTAATAAGAGATTTGTTTTATATTCTTGATAAATATATGAATCTTTGGATAATTTGGGATTATTTAATTATATTGATTTAAAGATGACTGTCTCCTTATACATCTTATTTAAAATTAATATCAACCCAATATTCTAGCATATTCAAAACTATAATTTTCATGAGCTAATGTTAATAAACTTTCTACATTGATTTTAAGAGTCACATCTATTTTCATTTTTCACAATTGTATAAGATGTTGAATATTAAAATTATGTTTAAATTAACTTGTAATAATTGACGTTTCAAAAATAGTTAATTCATAAATAAGTTCTTAAAATGTTACAAATAAAAACAGCTTGATGTGTCAATTTAAATTATAATTTCCAAATTTTTAACTAATTTTAAGACATTAAACTAATATTGTGTTGGATTAATAAAATAATTTGTGGGTATATGAACTTGCAGGTAAGATAAATTTACAAACCTTAGTGACTATACTGCTTATTTTACCTTTTTTTCTGAAAATTGTAGAGTATGTGAATACCATTGGATGATGCTATACAGGTTTATCTTTCTTGCTGTGTTAAAATTAGTAACCTTGATATAAAATATGTCCTCACAAACATAAAAAAATAGGGAGTTTGCGATTTTCTATTTTTCAGTTTTCTCTATGTCCCTCTATGGAAGAAACAGAATTGATTACTCTGGTTAAAGGTATAATCAATAAAAAGTACAATAAATATATATATATGTACATTTTTCTGTATTTGTATATATAATTATAGAAAAATATGAATATACAAAATAATGGATATGATTTATTTTTAAAAATTGTTATAGTTTATTAATGTAATTTTAATATGAATTTGCATTTTTAATGTTTAAAATGTTACTTATATGTTAAAGCTAAAATTATGATTTGTGAAGTTAAGAAAGAGTATAATTTGTATTCCTTTCTATAAAATAAAGTTATTCTCTACCAAGAGATATAAATTTTGTTATTTATTTTGATACAAAATTTGTTATTCTTTGAAAAATATATTTCTAATTATTATTCCCAATGCTATTATTTTTCCCAATAACTATTACTTCCAGTTAATTCTTTTAAAATGTTGCTTTTACTGCATTCAAGCTCAAATTCAGAAGAGTACAACTGTTAAAATGTCTTTTATGTATAAACCTCTCTTCATTTTTTCTGGAATGGCCATCATATAACAAGAATTTTGCTTCTTCATTTCATCTTTAAAAGGAAGGATAATAAAAGCAACTGGCATTCCTCAAATATTAAGTGACTTCTAACTATTGTGAGAATTCTATCTTTATCAAACTTAAAAAGAAAGAAAAAACAGTAACCAAAAAAACTAACAGACTATGAGAGAAATTCAGTCTTTATAATTTTGTTTATGTGAAAGTAAGACATACTAATATAAATATATTTCAATGATGGTGCACTTTTCAGGTTAAAAAAAGCATACTCAAGTTCAAGTACACAAAGTGGCTTAACAATTGCCTACAAATTAATGTTTGTTTCTAAATATTCATAATATTTGAATTGGAAACAATAAGTGGCAATTATATACATTTGTTATTATATCAAAGGACCTGAAGATTGCTCAGTGTCCTCCTTGTTTATAATATGTAATCACTAGATAAGTCTTGATAAATTGATTATATTTCAATGGAGAATTTCATAGTTTTCCATTCTTTTATTGCTATGTAACATATCTAAGTAGCCAGAACTGTTCACTTTTACCACCATAATGGAGATAATTGACTAATATCTTAAACTAGCATTGATTGGTAGGGCAATCCTACCTAAAATTTTTGAAAATATTTCTAACATATGTTCTATTAGTTAAACTTATAACCCTGACAAAATTTTAAAGATGGTGTTTGATGAGACCCAATGCATTACATCATTTGAACTTTTATGAATGCATTTTAAACAATTGTCTTCATTCAAGGATTTATTACCTGGCTTGGACAATGGAAAGTAAGTGTCAGATTAAGGAAACATTTCAGGGTATATTAATATATTAATGACACTACTTTACCTGTGCTGTAGCATCATAGTCTCATATTTTATGTTGCCCAGAATCCTAAATGCTTCTTTGTACAACTGCTAACTCAAGAGACAATTCCAGCCATCATTAAAAACCAAACACCAAATCTTAGCCATGCACCAAGAATTTTAGCTTTCAAAAGCTTTCCTGCCTTCCTCTCATTTTTAAATGCAAAGTAAGCAACCAACACCTGTTAAACTGAAGTCCCATCTTCTCATTCCTATATTCTGTCACCTGATTAATTTAATTCATTTTCCCCATACGTTCTAAGGATTTGAACAGTGAAAAATTATCATAGAGTAATTAATCTTGAGTAACCCTCTTCATTCAGCTTTATAAAAATTTTCAGCTACTTGCTCCCTGTAGGATATTCATTCTAAGCTACTTCCTGTATTTCCAGCATTCTTAATAAATCCTTTAGTTAATGGGTTTGGTTGTTTCTTTCTTCTTTCATCATAGAATTTACCTTCCAGGGTTATTGTAAATTTAAAACATATATGCAAATCATTTACTATAGAGCAGCCTGCATAGCAGATCTATTAATGGCAGTAATACTGCTGTTGCCAATAACTAAAACAAAATTCATGGTCTAATTTTATTTGATGCAGAAGAAACAGAGGAGGAGACGAGGAGGAGGAGGGGAAGAAGGAGACAAATGAAGTCTAAAAAATGCAAAAAACATACCCCCAAAAATAGGCAACATTGCGGGTACTTCATTGAAACCAAAAAATAATGATTATTTTGGAAATTATAACTTATTTACTTTTATTAGTAACATCAGAAAGGGTTGCAGAGGTCAAGTCCTTGTTCCTTTAGTGATACTCATCATATTTCCAGATTGTTTGTACATATTTTTGAGGAGAGATAATTTATAAGTGTGTGGGCAGAGATTTTAGTGTCGAACTTCTAAAAACCAATCTGGTCTTTTCCTGCCTTATACACATCTGATGTTAGGGTAGAAATAATAACAGAACACTTTTCCCCTTACTATAACAGGGAAAGTCTAAAAATTTATAGTCTTGTCTCTTGACACTAAGTTTTGTAGTGTTAAATAAAGGAATTCCACATTATTTGAGAAACTGCTCAGAGTCAGAGAATGGATTCATTTTTAAAATGCTCAGAGAAACTTAGTATATGAAGCTCCTAACAACTGAAAGGCCAGCTTTGCCTTTAGGGCACAGACCCATTAGCACATGTTCAGGGTCCTGTGCTCTTCCCAAGAGATCAGGCTTGGCAAATAAGACATCTGTGGTCATTAATTCTTTGCATTTGTAAGAGAAGTTGTTTCTGAACTTATTCTTAACCCAATTCACTTGAGGTCCAGATTTGTTAAGTGAATTGAACTTTGGTCCTGTAGCCAGGGTCTTTATAAAACTTCATACCAGTTAAAGTTTTAGAGAGGTTAGCTGTGTCCTTAGTGGAGTTTTCTCTTGACTCCAAGAGGCAAATGAGGGTTAAAATTTCCTATGGCAAGCAGTTTCTAAAAAATATCTTTTTGTAATAGGATTATCCAAAATTTTATTGGGAATTGTTTCCCTTTTTTTATTACAAATTTATGAAATTACGTATGTAAGTGGGTTAACTCAAGCAAATTATTCAAATGAAGTTGTTGCCAATTAGCTATTATAAAATTTGTGCTTATATCATATTAAACAATAAGAGTTTTGTTCCTTTGTTTATAATATATATTAACTTTTTAATGTTTCATGGTCTTCTATCTTTTTTTAACTTATCTCTTACATGATAATAATGAATTATCTCTTTTCTTGTAAATGCATGCTATTCCTTTCTTCAGAGGTAGAAATTTTTTCCTTTGTCTTTGAATGTAGACTGATCTTAGAAACTTGCTTGAGCAATGAAATATGGCAGAAGGGTTATTGTAGCTCGGGTAATAAGTTTTACAGCTTCTGCCTGGACTTATTTGAATGCTTTATTCTTAGAAAACATATTCTAGAAAATGTCAGGCAGCATATTAAAAGTTAGAAGACCACATGTGAGAAACTCGAGCTGTGTGAAGCAGTCAGTGGGAGGAGACACCACATGGAGAGAGAGACAAGCTAAGGAACACTAAGGAACTAGATCACTGAGTTAAAAAGTCGTGTTTTAAGTGGCCTCAGCCACAGCAGCTGATGTTATTTTGTTGAGGGAAAAATTTCCCAGCAGAAACCATCCCTGATTCCCTAGTCACAAAAATATAAGCAAAACAAAATAGTTATATTAGGTCATTCAGTTTTAGGGTAGTTTTAAGTCAATACTTGATCACTGGAAGATAACTTGGTACTTTGAATCAGTCTGTCTCTATAACTGAATCCTAAAAGAAGTTTTATTGCTATGAGATTGCCTGTAAATCAGAAGCTGGTAACTGAGAAGACTTTTGATGATTATTTCTCTTTTTTTTCACAGTAGTATATGAGCAATTTAATTATGAAATGTATTTTTTATTATACTTTAAGTTTTAAGGTACATGTACACAATGTGCAGGTTAGTAACATATGTATACATGTGACATGCTGGTGCGCTGCACTCACTAACTAGTCATCTAGCATTAGGTATATCTCCCAATGCTATCGCTCCCCCCTCCCCCCACCCCACAACAGTCCCCAGAGTGTGATGTTCCCCTTCCTGTGTCCATGTGTTCTCATTGTTCAATTCCCACCTATGAGTGAGAATATGCAGTGTTTGGTTTTTTGTTCTTGAGATAGTTTACTGAGAATTATGATTTCCAATTTCATCCATATCCCTACAAAGGACATGAACTCATCATTTTTTATGGCTGCATAGTATTCCATGGTGTATATGTGCCACATTTTCTTAATCCAGTCTATCATCGTTGGACATTTGGGTTGGTTCCAAGTCTTTGCTACTGTGAATAGTGCCGCAATAAACATACGTGTGCATGTGTCTTTATAGCAGCATGATTTATAGTCCTTTGGGTATATACCCAGTAATGGGATGGCTGGGTCAAATGGTATTTCTAGTTCTAGATCCCTGAGGAATCGCCACACTGACTTCCACAATGGTTGAACTAGTTTACAGTCCCACCAACAGTGTAAAAGTGTTCCTATTTCTCCACATCCTCTCCAGCACCTGCTGTTTCCTGACTTTTTAATGATTGCCATTCTGACTGGTGTGAAATGATATCTCACCATCACTGGCCATCAGATAAATGCAAATCAAAACCACAATGAGATTATTTCAAAGATAAGAAAAACATTATCAGATGGTAGATAAAATGGGACGTTAATACTAATTTCATCTTTAGTAGAAGAAATTTTGGCAACACTGTTACCTGTGGTAATGTGAAAAAGAGAAAGGATAAATGGTGAACATTTTTTCTGGCTTGGAAGATTTCATGGTAAAATCTAGAAAGTTCTAATTGTCTTCTTCTAGAGGCTTATGATAAAATAGAGAAGATAAATCAACTAAAGAAGAAACTGTTCAGTTTTTGAGCAGAGTTTACACAAAGTATAAAAGATCCAGGACTTGCTGGTTTCAAAGATAAAACCAGTTTTTTATCTCCAGTATTTCTCAGTAAAGATTCTCAAGGAAAAAAGTGGTTTCAGGGAAATAGTCAAATCCATATGCCATCAATCGAGCAGACTTCAGATTATGTGCTGAAACTTCGGAAAAATTTAACGACATAACTATTAGGGTTCCTAAAAATCTTTCAAAAATATTCTTGGAATTCCCCTGCCATAAAAGGGTGTTTCTAACACACTCATTAACCATGTAACTAGACAAAAATACTTGTACGAATATTAAGGGAAATGTTGCACAACAACTTGACTTTTGACCCAAGGCACAGCAGGGCCTATTTTGCAAACAAATGTGGATATGACTTTTAGGTAATAGAGTGGGTTAAAATATCATACATTGCAAATTCACAAAGTTTAAAAACATTATACCAGCTTGGACTGATGGGAAGAGAGAATTTATAAAATGAAAACAAGATTTTGAGCCCTTAAACTTATTTGGGCAGATCATGTTGATATGTTTCTTTTGTTATGAACATGTTTATTTCTCATAGAAGAGGAAGGGAAGAACCAAGAACTCAGAAGGTAAAACAAGGGTGATGGAAAAATATTGCCAGAATTGTAATCAATAAATTGCAGACGCAGGTCAAGTTGGAGTGTTTCTGAAAAATAACATGCTTTGTGGAGAAAGAGGGCACAGAAGCACAAACTAAGTGAGTGAGAAAGCATCTCAGATATGGATCATCTAGCACCTGCCTTGCGTCTTGTGCTGAAATGGGAGGAGTTTTCCCTTAACCCCCTTGCAGGGTGTGTGACCGTGGTGTGGCTTGCTTCTTCGGTGCCCTGCTGCTCAAACCCCCAGGGGAAGCATGCAGACAGGCAGGTCATGGTGAGCATGGGCTCCGAACTCACAGTAGCCTCTAGGGTTGAGCATTTACAGCTCCCGAAGGCCTAGTGGGCATGTGTTATAATGTGCTCTTTCAGTTTAGCTGTTTGGAGGTGGCTTGTGTTAATCAGCTCAATTAGACCCTCTGCCTTATCGCAAGGACAGAGGGCTTTCTGTATCCTGGGGTTCTTGCCCCAGTGTACTGGAAAAATCAGATCGCACATGCAAGATTTTATTGAGTGTCGAAAGTAGTTCTTAGGAGATGGATGGGGAGCTAGAAAGGGGATGGAGTGGGAAGGTGGTCTTCCCCTGGAGTTGGGCCTTTCGGTGGCAGGGCTCTCCTCTCACCATCCTTGGCTTAATTCCCCTGGGTGTCTGCATTGTTCCACCATCAATGGCCTGCCCATGACTGTCGGTGTGTGCTTCTGCTGGTGTGCTCCTCCCAATGTCCAGCCACTTGGGTGTCTGCCTGCTGGGGTCTTGAGGTTTTTATAGGCACAGGATGGGGGGCATGGCAGGCCACCGTGGTCTTGTAAAATGCAACATTTGAGTGTGAATACAGGAGTGCTTGTCCTCACTTAGGTCTGGGGGCACAGGTCTGAGGGTGGAGCCCTCGCCAGGAATCCTGCCCTTCTCTACCCAGCACTTCCCCGCCCCCGTCTCATATCACTGCTACATTATTAGAAACAAATTGTCCCACTGAGCCCTCTCTGAATGTTTGACCCAAAAATTGTAAGCAGAGTAAAATAGTTGTCTATTACACATCAATAGATAAATATGTAATTGAAGCTTGCCTTTCTTTACTACATTTAGAATAATTAGTATGAGTTTGAATCAATCTAGGCTTTTTCTCTTGAGTCAGTAGAATATGGCCTGTTAGTGAGTTGGAGCTGCAATCTTAACCCCTCAATGCCTCATAGCATTTGTAAAATTTATTATTATATGCTCTCAAAAATAGTATTAAATGAATGTGCTTCTTAAATTTCTGACTTTGAGAAGACATTTGTGACATATTTACTGATTTTTATGTCTTATTGTAAAGTTAGGCACTTTTCAAATACAGTCATCTCTCATCACAGGTATTCAGTGCTTACGATGTTTTGAGTACTGTTTTAAGTACTTAATATGTAGAATATAATATTATCCTCACAATAACCTTGGTTGGCATTATTATCATTAAAAGTTAGGTTCCTCAGGATAGGAAATAAGCAAGGAGGGTGTTTATAAGAGAATGCTTTTGAAGTCAACTTCTCTGAAAGAAGGAGGAATGAAGCAGTATTGAACAAAGGAAAAAGATTACTTGTGATGCAGTTTCAACAACAGTGCTGGTCCATCCCATGGAAAGCTATGGAGCTGAAATGACCATTCGGAGTTGTGACCAGCTGAGATTTGAAGGCTAGGTGGCATATCCTCTTTTTGATTAGTCAGTGGAGACAGGCTGCTCTGTGAATGCGGTATGATATTAACCAAGGTGGCTCTCTTCAGTTGATGAAATCTCCGAAGAGTGTTGATGCAGCTATTATATTTCATAATTACTGAGCTTACTTCACATATAAAATAGGAACATAGTGTTAAGTAATTTACTACTGAGGATACATTTATTTGAATGGTAGCATTAAAACCCAAGTTGAATTCTAGTCTAGCCAATCCAAATGTTTTAGAAACAATTGTGATTGTTTATAATAGTTATTTATGGATTCCCAGTTAAGTTGATGAGGCCAGCTAGCATAAACCTGATAAGAAACACTGGTATATTTCTATTAATAAAAAGAAGAAAAAATTCACAGAAAATTATTCCTCAGGAACATAACTACAAATATCTATAACAAAATATTAAGACAAAAAGTCCAGCAATATTTAAAAATGATAGTGTCCTGACTTAGTTGAGTTTATCTCAAAGTACATAGGTAAAAAGAATAGCTGATTATCAAAATTGTGATTTCAAAAATATCTTTGCCTCAGCATTTGCTAATATGTTTTATTATTTATATTTTAGTGTTGTTTTTTCCAATATACAGTAATAGCTTATTTATTAAAATTAGGTTATCATCACTTTCAATCAATTCTCTCAATATTTTTATTTCAGAAAATAGTCTCTGTTTAGTTTTAAGTTACATGGAAGTCACAGAGAATTGATTTAATTTAATTTTATTTTCAAGGTTTTGCCAAATTTAGATGTGACAAATTTTAGGCCATCTCTAATTTTATCCCAGCATAGAATATAAATTTATCCAATAAGAATGGGACCTATGTCAAAGTATTTTTTCAAAGCATATAGCAAGATGCAATTATAGAATCTCAGAATTAAATCTTCTGCCCTATTTGAACTCCTAGGAATCAATACATTTGTTTACTTTCTAACTTTCATAATAATTATTTTCAATATATTTATGTAGTCTTCCATACAAGCTTTATTTTCAATAGTTAAAATTCTGTAAAAGGTGCAAAATAGGACCCCTTTTAGTTTCATTCACTGAATTATTTGATTACAGGTTTTGACCTTATTTTGAAACAAACATAACTAAATGTAGAGAACTGATTTACAAAAGATAGGGATTTCAGACTATTGAAGCTGATTTACAAAATACTTTTTCTGCAATTTCAAAACTTCCCAAAATATAGTTGATGCCAGGCAGTAAAGAGTAAAATTATGCACTACCATGATGAACAGCCTATTATTTTATTTAATATTTATTATTAAACATCAGCTTCATCACAAGAAAATGTGTAGTTCAGTGATGCTTGCATATGTAAATTTTGACAATTATAGAGTCTATTTCAATTGCTAAAATATCACCCCTCATTTGGATGCAATCATGAGTTAATCACTCACATAACCAATGTGAACTATATTTGGCTACATAGGATTCTTAATTAAAAAATGTTTTCATTACAATTCTGTGATTCACAAAAATTTGTTTTGTTGGTGTCAATATTGTTACTACATATCCAATGAGTTTTTATTCAATGTGCAATTTTTTAACCAAATTTACAAACCATTTAAAACTTGAGTGAAAACAAGCAAAATTAACTGAAAAGAATAATTATTTGGTCTAACTAAAAAGTTATAATTTTGAGTGACATGAAAATGCATGTTCTGTAACTGCACATGTTCAATTACCATCTTTCATGTTATCAAAATTTTGTAATTCTTATGTTTATTGTTAATTTTGTTGAAATAGAAATTCAATTCTTGTTTTTTATTAGAAATCATTTCAAATTGATTGAACTACTGACACCTGAAAGCAAACTAAAATGTGCTATAAAACAGCAAACTACGTAGTTATATATTTATACAATGCATGAAGTTTACTAATCTGCTATTGCAAAAACATTCAGATTTTTCTCCTTTTGCTATATGGTGGTACTAGTCACAATATTGCTGACATATATTTCACATACATCTAGTGTATTTTTTCCCACATTTCCAACTGAGCATACTAACTCATAACCTGACAGTTTCTTACATGTCACAAGCTTTGGCGTAGACTGTGGCAGAGTTGGACGCACATCAAGCAGTTTACAGGCACATCAGGACTGGATAATTTTTCTATCACTGAGCAAAGGTGGAAAGAGTTAGCTGCTCCTAGTTTATCCTTTCCTTTAACATTGTATTTTTTATCAGCAAGAACCCTCAGGAAAAGAGTGATAACCTATCTTTGGTCATTTTTCAAACTTAATCACGTGTTATATTGATAACTTTGTTACTACACATGTATCACATATATTATTAGATAAGTCTTGCTTGGTGACGGGAGGAATAATTATAGGTCTTTTAAACTGATTTTGGCTTATTTTATACAATTCTTGATACTACTTCTTTATTTTTAAAAGATGGAAAATCCGGGAAAAATTCCTATGGCACACAAATGCCCTTCTAGGAAATAGCCATAAACGATGACTTTTTAAGGCAAACATAACATCTGGTAGTACTAATGTAAGAAATTTGAAGGGTCTTTAACTATTTGTAAAGCTGTAATATTAAAGAGAGGTGAGATTTTGTCTATATATGTCCTCAGAAATTACACAAGGGGAAAGGACTAGAAATTTAATTGAATTTTGGATTTGGGTCAATACATGAAATATTATCTAGCAGTTGGAGACATTCAAACAAAATAGAATATGCTGAAAGCCAGTATTTTATATTGGTAGATATATTCAAATCGATAGTAGATAACGTCTATCAGTATTGTTGTGGAGGAGATTTCTAATTTGGGTAAGAGTTTGGAATAGATGCCCTCTTAGCTAAATCTACAGGTTTTTATTGCCTACAGTGAACAGTGATGTGCATTGGTATCCCACTACATTGTGATTTACTTTACAATGGACTGAGTAAAATTACTCAATGGTGGCTTCATGCTAAAAGGTAATGAAGCAATCACATGAGCTTATTTTAATTTTCATTGCTTATGAATTACCTTATAGCATGGAAAACCAAGGAGAGGAAAAGGGCATGAAGCCAGTGCAAAAAGTAACAGAATCAGAGAGAAATACTGGCCATTTGTTGAATCATTATGAAATAGTAGATTACATTTTTTACTTCAAAATGCAATTCAAATTTTATAACTTTCTTATCAGTGCCAATATGCATTCATTCTTTGTCAAAATTATTTATTTAGCATTCACAGGTACATGCTATTCTAACAGGTGCTGAATGAAGAGAGTAAAATATACATATTCTGTGCTTTCTCTAGGCTTTCTGTTAAATTTTTGATTTTTAGATAGATTTTATGAGAGTTTGAAGTTTTACTTTTCTCAATGAGGGTACAAGAAAAAAGTTTTTTTTGTTTTAAATTTTGGATTTGTACATCTAATAACTCTTGGAAGTAAAAGACTTGGTAAAAATGCATACATTTTCATTAATTTTAAAATATAATGTTAGATATTTGTATTCATTTAAGCCCTATAAATACAATATGTTTTAATATACTTTTGTGTGTATGTGTATTTTATTTGTAAGGCAATTATTGTACAGATATCACTTGTCCTCTCAATAAACCTTTTTCTCTCCCCCTTCTAAATTATCATACAGCACATGTTATAAATCATTATATTTACAGATATTACAATGTATCTTAAATACTTATAGATTTTACATTTGTTATCTACATTTTATGATGCAACCAGGAAATGTCTCTTTCATCAAGAGGAACCAAAATATCGAGGGAAATCATTACACTTCAAAGAGACATTTTGAGAAAACACGAAATTCTATAGAGAGGGAAGCCAAACACCATAGTTGAGGAAGGAAGAAGCTGGGAAACTTGCTTAGAGACATCAGGTACCAGGATGTGTCCTCAGCCACAATCCAGATTTAAAAGAAGGGAGCCCTGTTACATGCATACTGAAATACAAAAGGGGTGTGTAGCTGAGAAAGAGCCTATCTGCTGGCCCGTACTCCTAAGCAGTATCTGCTAGGCTGCAGCCTGAATTATACCACCAAAGGAAAATATATTCCTCCAATGAGCAACGCCTCTGAAACCCACCACAGGAATCTATATACAACCTAAAACCTGTACAGAGCCGTGGCCCTCGAAGGCACTCAGAAAAAAAGTCAACCGACGATTCACAACATTCACTGCAGTCAAATCCTCAAGGAAAAAAAGAATATAAAACAAAAAGCCCCATTCGAACTACAGCAATTTCTATATATAATTTTATATATATACATCTATAATATATATATCAGTTCTCATATATATACAAAATATATATATCAGTTCTCATATATATATAAAACATTATATATATATATATATATATATATATATATATATATATATATATATATATATAAAATGTGGCCGGGTGCAGTGACTCACGCCTGTAATTCCATCACTCTGGGAGGCCGAGGCCAGCAGATCATGAGATCAGGAGATCCAGACCATCCTGGCTAACACGGTGAAACCCCGTGTCTACTAAAAAATGCAACAAATTAGCCGGGTGTGGTGATGGGCGCCTGTAGTCCCAGCTACTCAGGAGGCTGAAGCAGGAGAATGGCGTGAATCCGGGAGGCAGAGCTTGCAGTGAGCCGAGATCGCACCACTGCACTCCAGTCTGGGCAACAGAGCGAGACTCCGTCTCAAAAAAATATATATATGTGTATATATTTTATATATAGTATACATATTACATATGTATATTTTGTATATAGTATACATATTACATATGTATATTTTATATATATGTATACATATTACATATGTATATTTTATATATATGTATACATATTACATTGTATATATTATATATGTATACATATTACATTGTATATATTATATATGTATACATATTACATTGTATATATTATATATGTATACATATTACATACGTGTATATTATATATGTATACATATTACATACGTGTATATTATATATGTATACATATTACATACGTGTATATTATATATGTATACATATTACATACGTATATATTATATATGTATACATATTACATACGTATATATTATATATGTATACATATTACATGTATATGTTATATATATGTATACATGTTACATATGTATATATTATATATGATATATGTATACATGTTACATATGTATATATTATATATGATATATGTATACATGTTACATATGTATATATTATATATGATATATGTATACATGTTACATATGTATATATTATATATGATATATGTATACATGTTATATATGTATATATTATATGTGATATATGTATACATGTTATATATGTATATATTATATGTGATATATGTATACATGTTATATATGTATATATTATATATGATATGTATACATACTATATGTATATATATTATATATAAAATATTTATAAATATATATTATATATAAAAATAAAATATATTATAAATGAATATTATATATAAATATATTTATATATAGCTTACATATTTGATATATATGTATTATATAAATAATATATTTTTGTATATTACATATAATATATAAATATATATTAAAAAGCTAAAAAATACATATATATCAGTTATCTCAGATGAGAAGAGATTAGTGCAAGAACCCCAGTAATTCAAAAAGTCAAAGTGTTTTGTTACCTCCAAAGTATTTTCCTAGCTCTCTAGCTGTCTAGTGGATTCTAACCAGGCTTAAGTCTCTGAAGTGACAGACACATAATTCACAATCTGGATGGCAAAAAAGCTCAATGAGATCTAAGAGAAAGTTAAAATCAAATTTAAAGAAGACAGAAAAATTATCCAAGACTTGAAAGATGACATAGCCATATTAAGAAAGAACAAAACTGAACTTCTGGTATTGAAAAATTCACTACAGAAATTTTAAAATGCAGTTGAAAGCCTTAGCAGACTAGACCTAGCAGTGGAGTTAATTTCAGAGTGCAAAGCCTAGTCCATTGAATCAACATGGTCAGACAAAAATAAAGAAAAACTAATTTAAAAGAAATGAAAAAAACATCTGAGAAATATGGGATTATGTAAAATGACCAAACCTATGACCCACTGCCATTCATGAGAGAAAAAAGGGAGAGTAAGCAACTCGAGAAGCATATTGGAGGATATTAGCCATGAAAATTTCTCTGATCTTGCTAGAAAGTTTGATATGCAAATATAAGAAATTCAGAAAACCCCTGTAAAACACTATAGAAGAATACCATTCCGAAGGCACATAATCACCACACTATCCAAGGTCAATGTGAAAGGAAACATCTTAAAAGAGGCTACAGAAAATGATAAGATCACCTATAAAGGAAACCCCATTAGGTTAACATGGAACTTCTTACCAGAAACCTTATAAGTCAAAAGAGATTGGGTGTCTATTTTGTAATTCTTTAAAAAAAAAGAATTTCATACCCCTCCAAACTAAATTCATAACCAAAAGAGAAATAAAATTTTCCCAGACACGCAAAATTCTAAGGGATTTTTTTTAAATATTAGATTGGACTTAACAAAGATGCTGAAGGGAGCTCTAAATTTCGAAACTAAATACTTGCTACCATAAAAACACATGTAAGTACATAGCCCGTAGGCCCTACAAAACAACTACCCAATTGAGACTATAAACAAACCAGCTCACACCACCATGATAGGAAGATAACCTCACATATCAGTATTAACCCAGAATATAAATGGTCTAAACATTCCACTTAAAAGACACCAAGTGGCAAGTTGGATAAAAAAAATTAATACTCAAACTTTTGCTGTCTTCAAGAGACTCATCTCACATGTAATGAAATTTAAAGGCTTAACGTAAAGGGATAGAGAAAGATCTATCATGGAAATGGAAAACAGAGAAGAACAGGGTTGCTATTCTTGTATGAGAAAAAAACAGACTTTAAACTAACAAAAATACAAAAAGACAAAGAACAGCATTACATAATGATAAAGGACACGATTCCATAAGAAGACTTAATTATCCTACATCTATATGTACCTGATATTGGAGCACCCAAATCTATAAAATGATACTTATAAACCTAGAAAAAGACTTAGCCATATAATAATGGTGAGAAACTTCAATATCCCGCTAATAGCATCTTGTGAGAAAACTAAAAAAGAAATACTGGATTTCAACTCAACCCTTGACCAATTGTACCTAATACATCTCTGCAGAATACTCCACCCAACAACCACAGAATATGCATTCTTCTCACATACACATGATAGATGTTCCAACATTGAGAATATGCTTGGCCACAAAGAAAGCCTCAAAAAATTCAAAAGAATGGTAATCAAATCAAGCATTTGCTAGGACCACAGTTAAATAAAAATAGAAATCAATACCAAGAGGAACTCTCAAAGCCAAGTAAGTACATGGCAACTAAACAACTTGCTCTTAAATAACTCTGGGGGAAACAGTAAGATTAAGACATGAATCAAAACATTCTTTGAAACTAAGCAAAACAGACCAACACACTAAAATCTTTGGGATCTGACAAAAGCAGTGTTAAGAGGAAAGTTTATAGTGCTAAACACCTAGAGTAAGAAGTTAGAGCTTAAATGGACAATTTAACATTCACACCTAAGAAATTAAATTAACAAGAACAAACTAATCTCAAATCTAGGAGAAAAAAAGAAACAACTAATACCACAGCAGAGGTAACAGAACTGAACACCCCCCCCCCAAAAAATACTGAAAAGTTAGTTACTTCAAAATTAAACAAGATTAATAGACTACTAGCTAAATTAAACAGAAAAAAGAGAGAAAATTCAAATAAGCACAATCCTAAATGTCGAAGCTTATATAACAACTGATCCCATAGGAAAAAATGTTCAGAGGCTACTATGAATGTCTCTATGCACACAAACTAGACAATCTAGAGAAAATGGATAAAATTCTAGAAACACACAGCCTCCAAAGATTGAACCAGGAAGAAATTGAAAGCCAGAACAGACCAGAAATGAGCTCAGACATTGAATTAGTTATAAAAAAATAAAAACTACCAAAAAAAACAGCCCTGGATGAGATGGATTTACAGCTGAATTCTACCACATGTACAAAGAAGAGCTGATACTAATCCTACTGAAACTCAGGGAATTAGGCAAAATAGATTTCTTCTTCACTTACTCTATAAAAACAGTATAATCCTGACCCAAAATCTAGAAAAGAAGGAAGAAAGAAAACTACTGGCCAATATGCCTCACAAATATAGATGCAGAACTCTTCAACAAAATGCTAGTAAACTGAATACAGCAGTAAATCAATAAGTTAATTCACTATAATCAAGTGGCCTTTATTCTTGGGATACAAGATTGGTTGCACATATGCAAATCAACAAACTTGATTTACCACATAAACAGAATTAAAAAGAAATATATGATCATCTCACTAGATTTGGAAAAAGCCTTTGGTAAAATCTGAGATCTCTTGATAGTAAAAACCCTCAACAGACTAGGCATTGAAGGAACATACTTCACAATAATGATAGCCATCTATGACAAAGTTACATCCAACATTATACTGAATGGGCAAATTTTGGACACATTCCTCTTAAAAACTAGAATAAGACAAGAAGGCCTACTCTCACCACTTCTATTTAATGTGGTACTAGAAGTCCTAGCCAGAGCAGTCAGGCAAGAGAAAAAAATGAAAGGCATCCAGCTAGGAATAAAGGAAGTCAAATTATCTCTCTTCACTGACTATATGATTATATGCCTAGAAAACCGAAAATAATCTACCAAAGTCTCTTAAAACTGATACATGACTTTGGTAAAGTTTCAAAATCAATGTATAAAAATCAGTAGCATTTGTATACACCAATAATATTCAAACTTTGAGCCAAATCAAGACCACAATCCCATTTACAATAGGCACACACACACAAATAAAATATACCTAGGAATACATCTAAACAAGGAGGTGAATGATCTCTACAAGGAGAATTACAAAACACTGCAAAAATAAATCAGAGACATAAACAAATGGAAAAAGAAATTCCATGGTCATAGATTGGAAGATTAAATATCATTAAAATGGCCATACTGCCTAAAGCAATCTACAGATTCAATGCTATTTCTTTCAAACTACCAATGTCATTTTTCACTGAATAAGAAAATTATTCTAAAATTTATATGGAATAAAGAGCCTGAAAAGTCAAAGAAACCCTTAGCAAAAACAACAAAGCTGGAGGCATCACATTACCTGACTTTTAACTATACTATGAAGCTGCAGTATCCAAAACAGTATGGTAGTGGTGTTATTAACAAGAATAATAAAAACAAAACAAAACAACAAAACCCTATTATGTTTCTCCTTCTACTGCCTCCCTTTTTATTCTTTAAATTTTCTGCAATCTAATTTCTGTTCTCTTTCCTTCAATGACAAAACTCTTACCCAAGTAACTGCCACCATTTTATTATTTAAATTCATAGATGTATTACCTCTTTGTGTATATCTTTCTTGTCTTTTCATACATGGGCACTAAATTTTTCAAAGCTTTGTAAAATTCCCTTTATTCTCCTGATAAAATTGGGACATTTGTTCTCTTCATTTTCTGTGATCACCCTTTCTTAATCTGGCAACTTTTGTAAGAGTACCAATGATGATTTGGCAAATCTGTATACCTAATTCAGTAAATTTAGTTCTAATTTGTTAAGACAAATAGACGTATTTTAATTCAGTTTTATTTTATAATATATCTACTTAACTTAGACTGTGTTTTATATATAATAATTTCTAAAAGTTTTTAGGGTGCACATCATTTTTAAATAGAAAAAAACCCAAAAATTGCAAAATAGGAACTGAGTCATACTTCCACCATTTTCCACTGTCAACATGATACTGCTTGTCATGAGCAGTCTGTCCTTCTTTGATACTTTTCTTGTATTATATTTAGTAAGTAATTTGACTATTTGAGTCATTTTCCAATTTATATTAGGCTTTAGGCATCCTTGCATTGTTATTCAATGTCTACTCAGCTTTTATATTTATCTTTGGAAATAAGTTGTTTGTATTATATTTTTCATTTCTTTTCCTTCAAAATCTCAGTTCAACTAGATAGGTATATTTTAAAACCCATATTGGGTTCTTCTTATAATGGAATAATTCAAAAATTTATAGTTTCAACTTAAGAATTGCTCTCATTTTGGGTGCTAAACTAATTTTTCATTTATTGAGACCCCTTTTTCTCATTCTCAGGGAGTAACTTTGAAATGCCATTTATATCTGTCCAAAACATAATACCATTCCATTGCATTTATCATGGTCTTTCTCCTTTATATATTAATATTTATTAAATGAACTCTTTTATTATAACATATTAATTATTTAACTAAAATAAATTATATTAAATTTAATAAAAGTGATGGGCAAAATATCTGCAGGAGAAATTTTGAAGCCTATTAGTTATCCATCCTGCCTTCCAGAATTAAAATGTTTCTATTTAAAGTTTTTAGAATGTCAAAGTTTTCTTAACTTTCGTTTTTTTGTTCTTCTCAGACCTGAAAGAAACACTGTAATACTTATTCTTTTTGTTTTTGTTTTTGTTTTTTTTGGAATCATTAATGGTAGAAGTACAAATTTATTGAGCTGTTTCTTTGTTTGCCTTCTTAGGTATTGTATTAGTCCGTTCTCACACTACTATAAAGAACTGCCTGAGACTGGGTAAATTATAAAGGAAAGAGCTTTAATTGACTCCCAGTTCTGTAGGGCTGGGGAGGCCTCAGGAAACTTACAACCATGGCAGAAAGGTAGGCAAACACTTCCTTCTTTACATGGTGACAGGAAGGAGAAGAATGAGAGTGAAGCAAAGGGGGATGCCCCCTATAAAACCATCGGATCTCATGAAAACCTATTATAATGAGAATAGCATAGGGGAACCCACCCCCGTGATTCTATTACCTCCCACTGGGTCCCTCCCACCAAACATGGGAATTATGGGAACTAAAATTCAAGATGAGATTTAGGTGGGGACACAGCCAAACCATATCATTCCACCTCTGGCCCCTCCCAAATCTTATGCCCTCACATTTCAAAACACAATCACATCTTTCCAACAGTCCCCCAAAGTCTTAGCTAATTCCAGCATTAACCTGAAAGTCAAGTCCGAACTCTCACCTTGGACAAGGCAAGTCCCTTCCATCTGTGAAGGGAAAGGGACTGCCAAATCGAAAAGAAGTTTATTGTTTCCCAGATACAATGGCAGTAGAGGCATTGGGCAAATACATCTGTTCCAAATGGGAGAAATTGACCAAAATGAAAGGACTACAGGTCCCATGGAAGTACAAAATCCAGAGGAGCAGTTAAACCTTAAAGCTCCAAACTGATCTCCTTTGACCCCATGTCTTACATTTAGGTTATGCTGATGCAGGAGGTCGGCTCCCACAGCTTTGAGCAACTTTGTCCCTGTGGCTTTGCAGGATACAGCACCCCTCCTGGCTGTTTTCATGAACTGGCATTGAGTGTCTGAGGCTTTTCCAAGTGCACGGCACAGGCTGTCAGTGGATCTAGAATTCTGGGGCCTGGAGGACCCTCTTCTCACAGCTCTACTGGACAGTGTCCCAGTCGGGACTTTGTAGGGTCCCTGACCCCACATATCCCTTCTGGACTGCCCTAGCAGAGGTTCTCCATGAAGGTTCCACCTGTGCAGAAAACTTCTGCCTGGACATGTTTCCATACATGCTCTGAAATCTAGGTGGAGGTTCCCAAAACTCAATTCTTGACTTCTGTGAACCTGCAGGCCCAGCACCATATGAAAGCTGCCAAGGCTTGGGGCTTGCACCCTCTGAAGCAACGGCCTGAGCTCTATGTTGGCCCCTTTTTGGCATGGTTGGGATGCAGGGCACCAAGTCCCAAGACTGCACGAAGCAGCAAGGCTCTGGACCCAGGTCATGAACCCAGCTCACGAAGTCATTCATTCCTCCTAGGACTCTGCGCCTGTGATGAGAGGGGCTGCTGTAAAGACCTCTGAAATGTCTTGCAGACATTTTCCCCATTGCCTTGGCCATTAACATTTGGCTCATCATTACTTCGCAAATTTCTACAGCTGGCTTGAATTTCTCCTTGGAATTTTTTTTTTTTTTCTATTGCATGGTCAGGCTGCAAATTTTTTTGAACTTTTATGCTCTGCTTCCCTTTTAAATATAAGTTCCAATTCCATACCATACTTTGTGAAAACATAAAACTGAATGCTTTTACTAGCACCCAAATCACATCTTGAATGCTTTGCTGCTTGGCAATTTGTTCTACCAGATACCCTAATTCATCTCCCTCAAGTTCAAAGTTCCACATATCTCTAGGACAGGGGCAAAATGCCACCAGTCTCTTTGCTAAAACGTAGCAAGAGTCAACTTTATTCGAGTTCCCAACTAGTTCCTCATCTCCATCTAAGACTACCTCAGCTTAGACCTCATTCAACAAGGTCAAAGCCATTCAACAAGTGTCTGGGAAGTTCCAAACTTTCCCACATTTTCCTGCACTCTGAGGCCTCCAAACTGTTCCAACCTTTGACTGTTACACAGTTCCAAAGTCACTTCCACCTTTCTGGTTATCTTTACTGCAGTGCCCCACTCTCTGCAGTACCATTTTACTGTATTAGCCCATTCTCACGCTGCTATATTTGACCCAGTCATCCCATTACTGGGTATATACCCAAAGGACTATAAATCATGCTGCTATAAAGACACATGCACATGTATGTTTGTTGCGGCATTATTCACAATAGCAAAGACTTGGAACCAGCCCAAATGTCCAACAATGATAGACTGGATTAAGAAAATGTGGCACATATACACCATGGAATACTATGCAGCCATAAAAAATGATGAGTTCATGTCCTTTGTAGGGACATGGATGAAATTGGAAATCATCATTCTCAGTAAACTATCGCAAGAACAAAAAACCAAACACCGCATATTCTCACTCATAGGTGGGAATTGAACAATGAGAACACATGGACACAGGAAGGGGAACATCACACTCTGGGGACTGTTGTGGGGTGGGTGGAGGGGGGAGGGATAGCATTGGGAGACATACCTAATGCTAGATGACGAGTTAGTGGGTGCAGTGCACCAGCATGTCACATGTATACATATGTAACTAACCTACACATTGTGCACATGTACCCTAAAACTTAAAGTATAATAATAAATAAAAAAAAGAACTGTCTGAGACTGGGTAAATTATAAAGGAAAGCAGTTTAATTGACTCATAGTTCCATAGGGCTGGGGAGGCCTCAGGAAACTTATAATCATGATGGAAGGGGAAGCAAATACATCCTTCTTCATAAGGCAGCAGGAAGGAGAAGAATGAGAGTGAGTGAAGCTGGAAGCCCCTTATAAAACCATGAAATCTCATGAGAACTTACTCACTATCATGACAATAGCATGGGGGAAACAGCCCCCATGATTCAATTACCTCCCACCGGGTCCCTCTAACCAAATGTGTGTATTATGTGAACTACAATTCAAGATGAGATTTTGGTGGGGACACAGTCAAACCTTATCAGGTATCTGATGAAAGCATAAGTTAGTTCTTTTTTTTGCTGCTGCTGCTGCTGCTGCTATTTTTGATGTTGCATGAATTCAGCCACCCCTGGGAATATTCTCAGATATTATTGCAAAATTCTTTTTAAGTTTTCAATTGTTATTACTGTGGGGTAGAAATAAGGATGTATTTCTATTTTTCTAAGAGGAACTGAAAAAAATAAGAAAATTGCAATCTTATCTGAATTTTTTTATATATAATCATATTACTTCTAATTTTAGAAAAGAATATGTGATAGATTAGAAATATAATAATAGTTATGTTTTTCAACACTAACGTTATAATGTTGTAAGTCTAAAGGCAAATGGCTGTCAAAATACATATTTTAATAGTAATATAAAGTTATAGAAACCTGTGACGTTTTCATGTTCCTGTTTGGTTTCGGAGGCATTGTTGCATGTTTTGAATACCTTGATGTATAAACTGATTGTAGTGTTTGTTAGTTACAAAAAATAAATGTAACTACGTAGTTTTTTATTGGTTGAATTTATAGGAAATATTTAATATCCAGTCATTTCTAATTGCCTTTAAAGAAAATCTAAAACTTTACTTAATAGTTAAAGGTAATATTTATTTAAAATCAAGACTTCTATATCAAATTTTTTAACAACCAGCTTACTTCCTCAAAACACAACATATTTTGGGTATTTCATCCCTATATCCAGAAATATATCTGTTTCTTGCTGGAACAATCTATAAAACTACCTAATGCAGAAGGTTTTATCTTTCTTATAAAATTGTGTGTGTGTGTATATATATATATATATATTTACATTCATGAAAAACAGTATCTGTGGAGAAAAGCGGGTTTTCTGCAGAGCCATTTTATTCTGGGTCATAAAGCAATGTTTGTAGGCTGGTTCAGATGAGAGATGAGTAAAAGTTCCTGTGAGGGTTGTGGGCTCTTCTACCTCTGTGAGCTTTAAGGCGGAATGATATCTACTCTGTTATCTTTATTATTTTGTATTGTTAGATGAAAATAAGGTTTGGGCAAACTAATTTATATTGATTAAATTATCAAATGAATGATTTATTTTGTTTCTGATTTCAGACTGTTCCATGATGTTGGAACGTTCTCTGCCCTCCCCCTCAAATGTCTTTGCCTTATCAAAATTAATATCACAAAAACCTTTGACAAATTCAAATTATTTTAATTTATAAATACAGCTAAGGCTCAAAATGTAAATTGGGCTAAAACAGCTAAGTATATAGATTTAGTTTATTGATATAAACATATTTACATTAAGCTCCATAAAGTGGAGGCCTGAAGACAAAAAGAGAGCAAAGAACATATTAAAACACACACACACACACACACACACACACACACACACACAAGATTATATTTGAGAATAGCTAATGTCAAAAACTCAAATATACCTACTTGGCAATAAGTCTTACTGTCATTTAAATTTCGATTTTATAATAGCTGCCTATACACGTATATCTATTCCATAATTATATTTGCTCAGTTTTGTAGACTTAATTGTATTTTTCAAATATTACATGAGCACTTGGAATATATAAACACCATTAGCAGTTTATGTGTATATTATATGCTAGACATGATTTGAAAGAACATGAACAGGTATCAGTGACCGTTTTTCTAAAAATAATACTATATTAGGCATTCTTGGCTGCAATAAGATAACTTAGGAATCATTCACAAATGCTAGAATTATATGAAATTTGAAATCTTTTAGGAACCCTGGCCAGCATTATCGTTGGGTGTTATATTTAATTCAAATAATGAATCTATAGTTTTAAAGGAAGTCAACTATGTACAATTAGAAATTGACTATATGGAAATCTATTCATGCTACAGAGCCTATGACTATAATTCCAAAATGGTATAGAGATATGATCATTAGTAGGAGAGGTAGGTATGTAAGTTTGATGATGGGACAGCCTAGAATAAGCCTCCATGTTTGCTAGTCCATGTATATTAAGCTAAGATAGTTCAACTCATTTTAGCATTATAGTATCCAGTTGTGCAAATTCAATGTATTTCCAACTTGCATTAGATATCAACTAAGCACCATTTGGTCTGACAACCATGTGGGAGAAATGAATCCTTTTGAAATAATGAAAAAGACTATCTTGAAAAATGTCTGTATAATATCTATATTGCTACCAGGTGTTGCTCTAAAAGATGTTATTTATAGTGAAATATAATTGGGTCACTTCCAGTGATGAGAATTTAGTCTTCTTATTATCCTAGACACTATGGCTCATATCCTATTTCAAGTGTTGGCTGGACTTTCATGGTAATGTCTTCATAATGATGAAAAGCAATGGTTCAGTTAATGGGGTTATCAGTACGTTTGTAGATGCTGCCAAAATCTTTTGGCTCCAAATCAACTGCTGTTAACTGTGTCCAATTTCTTTTCAAATATACCATAAAATATAAAGGAGGAGAGCAACGCCATTAAATCTGAAATTATAAGGAATATATAGTATGACTATACATGGAAAACTTTAATGTGCAATTGTTACCTAAGAAAGAAATTGGATTTCCTATTTGTCCATAGCCACTTATTTCTTTACAAACTAATCAAGGATCAATACATGTGGGAATAATTTGATGTTAAATAATCAGATAAAATAAAATTTGCTTAATATTTATTTAATATTGACGAGAGAATTTTTTATTGAATAAACAAAAAAATTACCATATTAACCAAGTATTTTTATTTGTTAGTCATTTTAAAGAAGATGATAAATAAAAGTTTCACTTCCTTAAGTTTTATGAGGCATGGAGGATTGACAACAGAGTCACAGGGACTTTCCACCAAAAGCGTAAGAGGTAATCATTCCTGTTTTCATGATGGATGCTTTACAGAACAATCAAGAATAAAGACTCTGATTTCTATAAAATATTTGAAAACAGAACCTTCTTGGAATATGTAACAGGTATTTATTTATTCAATTTGGACAAACAGAAAAGCAAACTCTCAGGGGGGATACTGGTAATAAGTTAGCTATCTTAATTTCATCTTAGATCATTAGGTTTAATCAAGCTAGTTGCAAGAAAGGATGCCTTCTTTTTGTGCTTCCTGCTGATCTACTGAATCCTTGTAATCTTTTTTATGCCACATCTCAGTTGGAATCCTTGTCTGAAGCCATATTACTTGATGCAGGAAAGGGCTTTTGAGAAAATAGGATAATGTTATTCACATAGAATCTTTGAACATTTTTTTTTCCAAGAGGGAATTATTGATTGTGTCAGCATCCTTTACACTGCATTGCAAAGATTCAATGTGGAACAATGATTCGTTCTATAAAGGAACACAGGACATGATGGCCCTGCCTCCCACCCTATTAGTACTTTAACATTGAACTGCTTTGCCCAGCTGCTTTGACATACAAATCACCCCAATTGGTTTCTAACAAAATAAACTATATTAGTATGCTGCTGTCATATTATCTTATCCTATTACATTCACAAAGCTTATTTAGGTATCGAAGCTTGTGACCAGATCTCTTGATATAGGTTAATTGGAAAAAAGAAATCCAGTACTTATCCATGCTCTGGTTCAAAACTCGAACTTAAATGCAGCTTACATGAGAGAACATATTTTTGTTGTTAATATAAAGTCAGCAACAGAATTAAAAAATAAGGGCACACATAATCTGCATGCCAGACATGGACACTTTTAAAGGTTAGACATTTCAAGAATTTTAAGTGTATGAGGTCATACACTGAATGAATAACCAAAATAAAATTCTATTGTGCATTAAAATGTTTACCGTAATAGATTTTATGCAACATAGAAAGTTGATTAAAACCTGTTCCTGTGTATGAAACACACTTGTCAATGATGGTAATGAGAAAATCCAAAATAAGGTTTAATTAGTTTTTCCACAGAGGATCTTATGTTTTTTATTACTTATATGTTCATATAATTAAGCAAATTTTTAAACCCTTTACTTTTCAGAATTTGAATCACTGATATTCTCTCTCTCCCTTTCTCTCTCTGTCTCTGTCACTTTTTTTCATTTTTGGAGAGAGAGGATTTTGCTGTCACCCAGGCTGGAGTGCAGCAGCGTGGTCATGGCTCACTGCAGTCTTGACTTCCCAGGCGCAAGCCATCCTTTCACCTCAGCTTCCCTAGTAGCTGGGACTAGGGAAGTCCATATCGAGCTAATGTTATTTGTTGTTGTTGTTAGTTTATTTTTTTTTGTAGAAATGGGGTCTCATTATGTTGCCCAGGCTGTTCTCAAACTCCTGGGCTCAAGCAATCCTCCCCGCTCGGCCTCCCAAAGTTCTGGGCAAGCCCCCATGCCCAACCTTGACTCACTGCTTCTCTAAGGCTCTTCACATATATTCTTTTTTAAGGAAATAAATATATTAATTTTTACATGTATGTTTAGCTTTTATAGCAATTCATAATAACTTAATATTGTATCATTAATTCCAGTAATGAGTTCTAAAACTGCCTTATCATATTAATATCCCAATTCACTTAAGTAAGAAATTTTAACAAATTCCCAGTTCTTCTCAAAAGATATATGAAGCTATTCAAAAGAAATCAAAATAATTTGTGAACATTTACCAAAAGTTCACACAAAATGTTCAAGATTTAATGGCTAACTTGAAGAAGAAGCAGAGTGAAGGTGGAGCATTAATATAGAAGCCTTCTTCTAACCATGTGCTTGGTCTTGTAAAGTGGATTAAGGTATTCCAAGGAATACTTTCACTACTATAATTCAATCGTGTATGTGCCTGTTCTTGCATATATGAGAATATGTTAAAGATCCCAAAGACAATGGGCCAAATCCAGAACATGTTCTTATTAATTGATGAGACACGCATTCCTGAGACATCCAACTAATGATTTTTTTCAAGTATATAAAGTTTATCTGGAATTATCCTTTATGTTTTTCAAATTTGATAACATTTAATTTTACAAAAGTAAAGTAGCATTTAAGTTTAGTTGATATTTGTGATGATGCTTTAGAGAAAATGAGCTACAAACAAAACTGTATTCAAAATGGCTGCTGTTGTAGTCATGCAAATTTGGCTCAAGGCTCTGCCTATAAGAAGACAGGAGTTTAGATTATTTAATAATGTACTAAATGCAGAATTGCTCATAAGTTTTAGCCAGCTTGCAGGCAAATTTATAGATTTCAGCAATACACAATATCTTTGGCAACAACTTCAAATCAAAAACTGTCTCCCAAAACTGTCAGATAATTCTCAAATATTCTAAATGAATTCTCTTCAACTTGTTTTTGGGGATCACATAAAATCTTAGTTCATCATATTGAATTGTGGCTTCTACTGAAATTACAGATTTCCTCACCACATTCTTTATAAGCATCTTCATAGCCTCATTTATGGCCTAACCTAAGTTGTCTATTTTCTTTAAATGCAATTCTTTCTTCCTCCACATCTTCTCACCATGCATTCTTCCATTATCATCTTAATCGAGAATGTTCATCTATGAATTCATGTGTATTGAAAATAAGATTCAGTAGTCAACAAATGCAAGATGATATTTTCTATCAGTCCCCCTTTTGGGTACTACTTAAGTCAAAACATGACAGCTGATGTGACTTGGGCAGTACAGACGGGTGTACCGTAAAGGAATTGCAGCTGTGCTGAGCAATTACTCCCTTTAGCATCCAGATGGAAACTAGTGTGGTCCTGAATTGATCCAGCTACAAGTTCCATTCTGGAACCCTACCTTAGCCTGCCATAAACATCATCATTTTTGTGAGTGCTATGTGAAAAATTTGGAACATAATGTTTTAAATTCTTACTCATATAATTTTCATTCATTTGTTAGTATTTAAATATTTTCCTAATTTTTCAAATCCATATCTTTTATCATCCTAAATAAAATGTAAAGATCTCAAAAAATGGAGACAATTTCTGTATTTTTCTGTATGTGGGAAGAATATCGTAAATTGCATACTCATTATAGTTTCCAAATCCATTTTGGCTGAATGAATAGTATATGAATGAAAAAGATTGTAGTAGAAGTAAAATCAAAGCTTCTTATTGCTCTTTGTATTCATAAAAACTATTGGGAATATTTAGTTATTTGTATATTTTTCTAACCTGGTGTCATCTGAGGTTAATAGTATAACATTAAAAGTTATTTATAACAGAGAGACAAAACAAATCCTGCAGTTCAGATTTCTATGTGTTTATGGTGCTTTCTTAAAGTAATGTATATATAGTTAATCCTGTTTGAGATTTTATGACTGGGCATTTTCCTTTATTGGTATCCTGAAATAGTCACCAATCATTATCTACTTTGATAAACTGAAGAATCATGCTTTCTCATTTTCGCTTCCTATGTGTAACTCTAATTTACATTTTCAATACTGGATTTATATTCCAGTTTCTGTATTTTTTAGTCTTAACTTTTACTCTCCTTTTTAAAGATGGTGAGCTCTTTAATCATGTGAAAAGCCTAACTTCCCAATAACTCTCTTTATTTTCCATTATTTTTATATTATGTAGTATATTTTCAAAGATGAAATAGGAGGCCAACCGTAAGAATTGAATAGTATCAAGTCTTTTGAGATGCATTTAACACCTTTGTTGGAAGTCTCAGTAGAGAGGCCTATCATTTGCCAGATATATAAACTGCCATTCTTTCCTTCACAGCAAGAACTGCAAAATAGTTTTTTGTCCTGCTGGTGTAGTTGTTTCCTTTATTTAATAGAAAAAATTAATATCAGGCATATTTGAAAGAACAGTTGATATGTGTCCAGAAACAACTTGGAGAGCTCCATGACTTCAAGAGATTTTGCTTTTTCTATGTAGAAGAGTTACAAAATATGATATGAGTAGCAATATTTTATAATTGTTCTCTGCAGGTCTAGGATAGGAATTGGGAACTGGCTGCTACTTCTTTGGTAGAGAGTTATACTCAGCCAAAATATTTACCGTAGATGAAGCACGCCAATGAGAGAGTAAAATCCTATAAATGTTATAAAGGACTTTAGCTCTCACTTGTTCTTAGTTATCAGGCACCAATTTCAATTAGAAAAAAAAAAAAGTCAAAATGAACTCAAAGAACACTGGATCAAAATTAACTCAAAGAGATATCCTGCAATGATCGTCACAGAAAGCAGCATGTTGTCGCATGAATTAAAAAGGATAATGCTTTTGTTTTGTTTATATCTATTTTGCTTCTGAGAAGTTTTGGATATTTTCCTTAACTGTATGAGTATAAACATCAAATTCAAAGTTTCCTTTCTACTACATAACATTGTACATTACCAGATTTTTTTTTTTTTTTTTTTTTTTTTTTTTTTGAGTTGCTTGCTCTGTCGCCCAGGCTGGAGTGCAGTGGTGCAATCTCGGCTCACTGCAACCTCCGCCTCCCGGGTTCATGCCTTTCTCCTGCCTCAGCCTCTCGAGTACCTGAGACTACAGGCACCCACCACCACACCCAGCGAATTTTTATTTTTAGTAGAGACGGGATTTCACCATGTTGGCCAGACTTGTCTCAATCTCTTGACCTCGTGATCCGCCCGCCTCGGCCTCCCCGAGTGCTGGGATTACAGGCGTGAACCACCGCTCCCGGCACATTACTGGACCTTTAAACTCGTTATTGAAGAGTTTTTGGGAACAGATAATGAAAGAAAGAATTGAAATGATTGTCTATTTGTAAATCCTGATCATTTTCCCTTGACTGTTTCTCACTTCTTCTATTGTTACTATTATATTCTTTACACAGAACTAGCCATGATTGAGGGAGATTGGAAAAGGGAATAATGAAAGGAAAGGAAGTGATATTTCACTAAATATAAAGGTGGGACAAAGTACATGTTTAAAGTCGTAGTGGGATGGAGGATGCCCTGAACTAAGGTTGTTAAAAATCAATAAATTCAAATCTATTAAGCGACCATGAGAATTGAATACGATTTTTCATGAGACCTTACTAATTGGATTTTTAAAAAGGATGGTTTCTAAATGTTTATACATTCATTAATTAATTCAACAAATTATTTGTTCACTTAATCTTTATTTAGATCAGTTGTATGTCAGACTTTTTAAGATACTGGAAACAGAATGATAAAGCCATAGTGCCTCAGGAAACTAATATTTTAGTGAGAGCATCTGAAAATTAAAAAGTACTAAATAAGTAAAGAAATACATAACATAATGATGGCTATATGTACTATTAAATGAAAGTAATTGTTTCTTCAATTAATTTGGAAAAGCAAATGTTTTCAGGAAGACACTATTTTCAATATCACCAAAAATATTAAATAACTTAGAATAACCTAAAATTATACAACGCTATTGAAAAAAATACCTAATTAAGTGGGGAGATAGATCTTGCTCACGAATTGGAAATTTATTATTTTGAACATGTAAATTTATTCCATATTACTTTAGGATACAATGCAATGTCAATCAGAATTTCAAAAAACAATTAAAATTTTCCAAGCTAATTGCTACATTCACAGGAGGTACAATAACCATAAATAGTTAAGGCCTTTTTAAAGAAAGAAATAATAATGAAATATACAAATTTGTAATAAAATTATAACAGTTAAAATACACTGTATGAAAATAAGTGAATAAACCAAACTAACAGAACAGAGAGCTCATAAACAAATTCAAACACGTTGTTGCTTGATTTGTGATCAGTTTAGCTCTACATAGAAATGGGAAAAGGAAGAATATTTCAATAACTCATTCTTTGACAACTGATTATTCAGAAAAAAATGAAACTACCTCTAGCTCACACTGTTCAGAAAAATATAATTTCAGGTGAATTGTACATCATCCATGTACATGGTGTATCTACTTATTTTTAAATGATTTTCACATTGATATAACATTTAATGATATATTTAATGATATATTTTAATTGTTTTTATGTTTAAAACTTTATTAGTGTTTATTTTATTCATTTTTTGGATTTTTGTTTTCATATTTAGCAAGCATTAATTTGTTTCTCTCTTCATCGCATCAGCTAACCTATTGTTTTGTTTGTTTTCTTTACTTTTTGTCTTACCTTTTTTTTTTTTTTTCATCTCTGTAGCCTCCCCCTAGACTCTGATTTTCCTCTAAAGAACCAGCTCATTTACAGGTGGTTTGACGTTGTCTGCCCACAATGGTAGGATGGGGTTAATGAAATAGAGTCAGCTGGACTTGCCTTTCTCCTGCTCATATAGACGAACATTTCAGGGAAAAGTTGATTACAGATTGTTTCGACCTCCTTTCTGAGCAGAGGAGATAAACAGCAGCCTCTGCTTTAAATGTTGCCTGGTTCCAACATTCTGAATAACTAGAGGCAGCTTTATTCTAAAATGAATACAACTCTAATTGCTTGTGCATGGACTAAACCCTGGTAGTCCTAAGACTGCAGTCTTCATTGCTGCTTACATTTTTTCTTCTGTATCATGGCTATAATGATATTTAGCTTATTTTTTTGGCATCAAAATCTCTCTCTCTCTCTCTCTCTCTCTGTCTCTCTCTCCCTCCCTCTCTCTCTCTCTCTCCCTCCCCCCCCTCCCCCCCTCTCTCTCTCTCTCTCTCTCTCTCTCTCTCTCTGTATAAATTACTGTTGTTCTCTTGGGAGGCTGAGGCAGGAGAATCGCTTGAACCCAGGAGGCGGAGGTTATGGTGAGATTACGCGCCATTGCACTCCAGCCTGGGAAAAAAGAGTGAAGCTCCGTTTAAAAAAAAAAAAAATTACTTTCGTTCTTCCATTAAAAAGCTAGTATCAATTTCTCCTTTAGTTTAAAACTACAAGTTTTTTCCATTGATAACACCTTTCAGATACCTCAGCATTAAATAGTAGTATATCAATTATGTTTATGATAGGATTTGACATAGAATTGATATTGTATAAAAATACAGATAACCAATTTTTTCCAGCAATAATTTGGAAAATACACAATCCAAGAAATAAATAATAAATGAAGCTCATATTTTCTAAATATTATCTATAGATTTAACTAACAATTTAAAATGGACTAGGTTATATATTTTGTGGCAAGGCGTTTAATAACAAGTAATTTAAAATTTGAATTGTTGCCATTATACTTTATGATTTTCATTCTAAAATAACAGTCTAACCTTTTCAGCTTAATATTTATTATCTTGCCAGAAGTTTTCAATTTTTGGACTCATTAAGTTGTTATAGCAGAGAACCTGACCTAAGCTAATATAGTCATTATCTATTTAGAAATTCCAAGGATAGTGTATGCATGCTTTCCTTCCTAGAATCATTTACCATTTCAAGTAGAGCCTTTATTTCATCTGTATTTTCTAGGACTTCATTATCTATGCTAAGCCCGACATTTTCCAGATTGAAGATACTAAATTTGTCTTTTTTTTACCATCTGTGTTAATTCTTGTGCTAAAACCATCACTTATCACTTTGCCCTAATTAAATCCAACTGTACATATATCATTCAATGCTCTAATAATGCTTTCTCCCAATCTTTCCTCCCTCCTTGACAAAACCAACATGTATCTATCCTGAAAGTTACTCTAGCTCAATGTCTCCAATATAGATGAGCACATGTGGTAAAAAGGGAGCTCCCTCCAAAAGGAATTTTTACTTATCACTTTGAGCCTTTCCATTTTTACCCATTGTGAAAAGCTTTAATTTTGAACTTCCTTCTCCTGTGTTTCTAATGAAAGGCATTACAGCTGCAAGCATCTTCAACTTTTCCTTCTTTGTGATTTGTTATCAGTGTACTCCTGAGTCATATTTTATATATATTACTTGGCCGTTACTGTTGCTGTCATTAGTATACCATCTACATAACTCATATGTCCAAAAGGCAGCGTGCCTGATTTTTAATTTTTTATGTATTATTTTATTTTATTATATTTCCGTGAGAAGTGTAACTCACTTGTGAAGTGATTGTGTCTTTTCTATGTTTACTACGTTTTCTGGACAATTAACTCTCTGTAAATTAGAAGCAATATTAATCCTGCTCTAGTACCTCCAAGTCCTAGTCATTCAAGCATATTACTGCTGACTGCCTGCTCTGATGTGCAAAGAATGATTCTTATATCACCACATACTCAAATAAACAACTCCACTGATTGTGTATGGTTAAAAATTCCTGTCCGTCAGGTTAAGCATTTTTGGAACTGTATCATTGTTTATATTATTCATTTTTACATTGACAAAGCAAGTTTGTAACTAAGTCGAATGTGACTCTACGTGTCCAGCACAGACAAGTAAGTGTTCAGCACAGACATTTTTGTTTTGGTTTAGTCTTAATAAATTTTATTTCTTTTTTGCTCAAAAATAATAATTTTTTTGTTTACAAAGATATTATAGAGTAAGAGTTCCCATAAATCCCCTAATATTCCCTCTTTCAGTTTCCACTTTTGTTAACATCCTGCATTGTTGTGATACATTTGTCATAATTGATGAACTAATATTGATATATTATTATTAACTAAAGTCAATGGATTACGTTAGGGTTTAACCTTTGTGCTGTATTAGGTTGGTGCAAAAGTTATTGCATTTTTTGCTGTTAAAAGTAATGGCAAAAACTGCAATTACTTCTGCACCAACCTAATACATTTGATGGGTTTTGATAAATGTATAATTACATGTATCCACCATTATAATATCATACAGAATGGTTTCACTACCTTAATAATTTGCCCTGTTTCACCTATTTATCTCTTCCTTGGGAGCCTTGGAAACATTTAATTTTTTTTCTGTCTCTAGAGTTTTGTCTTTGCCAGAATGTCATATAGTTAGAATTATATAGTATATACAATTTCAATTGGATTCTCTCACTTAGCAATAAGCATGTAAGTTTCCTTCATGTTTTTTTCCATGGCTTTGTATTTAATTTACATTTCTACTCCATTGTGTGGTTTTACCATAGTTTGTTTATGCATTCACATATTGAAGGACGTCTTGGTTGTTTCCAGGTGTTGGCAATTATGAATAAAGTTGCTGTAAACATTTCTGTGTAGGTTAATTTGTAGTCATAAGGTTTAATTCTTTGGGTAAGTATCCAGGAGCACCACTGGTAGTCATGTGATAAGAGTATATTTAGTTTTGTAAGAAAGTGCCAAACTGTCTTCCAAAGTGGCTGTACCATTTTGCATTTCCATCAACAAAGAATGTGAGCCCTGTTGCTCCACATCTTTACCAATATTTGATATTAGTATTTTGAATTTTAATCATCTTAATGGTGCATTGTAGTGTCTCATTGTTGTTCCCATTTGCAATTCTCTAATGACATATGATGAGAGAATTCTTATATACTTATTTGCTGACTGCTTATCAATTTTGTGAGTTGTCTGTTCATATATTTTGCCTGTTTTTTAAAAAAAGGCATCTCTTGGTGAAAAAAAAATCTACTCTTAAGCTCTTGCCCTATAGATCTTCCTGTGCCCCCACCACTGATTCTTCTGTATTTTAAATCTTTTTTTTGGAACCTTTTGAATAAAATATTCCTTCTTAATATTCATTTTTTAAAACCATATACAATTTTGTGTATACATTATTCATGTAATGTTAACTACATATTGCTATACATTTTATTAAATAACAGAAAACTCTATTTTTAAAAACTATTTTGTCTATAATGGCCACTTCAACCATTTGGTTTTATTCCATTTTGTTTCATGAGGTATAATATGCATACCAGTATATTAATCTTTTTATTGCACATATCTACAAGTTTTGATAAATCCATACAGACATGTAATCAGACCTCAATCAAGATACAGAATAGTTCCAATACTGGGCAAGATTTCCCTGTCCTATTATAGTCAAACCCTCTCCCCACTACCAGCTCTATTTTGTGATATATTTGCTATTTTTAGATACTAGAGTTTTGTTATTTTTAGAACAACATGTATGTAAAATCATCCAATATGTAGCCTTTTAGGCCTGCCTTATTTCACATAACATAATGTGTTGCAGAGTCATCCATATTGGTATGTGTATCTGCTGTGTGTTTTGTTTAGTTTCTATTAGATAAATTTGTTTCATCTGTTTATCCATTCCCCAGTTGAGGGACATTAAAATTGCTTTGGATTCTTAGCAATGAAAGTCTAAAACTGCTGTTAACATGTAGAGGTAGGTTTTTGTGTAAATATAAGTTTTTAGTTCGCTTTGATAAACGACTAAGAGTAGTGTGTTGGTCCATTTTGCATTGCTATAAAGGAGTACCTGAGGCTGGCTAATTTATGAAGAAAAGAGGTTTGTTTGACTCACGTATCTGCAGACTGTATAAGAAGTATAGTGCTGTCATCTGCTTCTAGTGAGGGCCGCAGAAATCTTTTACTGAAGGCAGAAAGCAAGGGGAGCCAGTGAGTCACATGGAGAGAGAGGGAGAAAGAGAAAGGAGGGGTTGCCAAGCACTTTTAAACAACCAGCTCATGTTTGAGCTAACATACCAAGAACTCATTACCACAGGGAGTGCACCAAACCATTCATGAAGGATAAACTTCCATGACCCAAATACCTCTCACTAGGTCCCACTTCCAACATGGGACAGTCATATTTCAACAGGAGATTTGGTGGGGACAAAAATCCAAACTAAATCAAGTAGGATACCTGCTTCAGGTAATAAAAGTGTATGTTTAATAAAAGTTTGTTAAAAACTGCTGAATTGGTTTTTAAAGTGACTGTCATTTTGCTTTGCTTTCAACTAATTGTGAAGTATTAGTACTCTAAACCCTTGCTAGCACTTGGTATTGCCGCTTTAATTATTTTTAGTTTTTAAATTATAGCTATTCTAAAAAGTATGAAATAGTATCTAATTGTGGTTTTATTTTATTTTTTATTTTTAATATACTTTAAGTTCTGGGATACATGTGCAGAACATGCAGGTTTGTTACATAAGTATACACGTGCCATGGTGGTTTGCTACACCCTTCAAACTGTCATCTACATAAGGTGTTTCCCCTAATGCTATCCCTCCCCTAACCCCTTACCCCTCGACAGGCCCTCATGTGTGATGTTTCTATCCCTGTGTCCATGTGTTCTTATTGTTCAACTCCCACTTATGAGTGAGAACATGTGGTGTTTGGTTTTCTGTTCTTGTGTTAGTTTGCTGAGAATGATGATTTCCAGCTTCATCCATGTCCCTGCAAAGGACAAGAACTCATCCTTTTTTAAGGCTGCATAGTATTCCATGGTGTATACATGCCACATTTTCTTTATCCAGTCTATCTTTGATGGACATTTGGGTTGGTTCCAAGTCTTTGCTATTGTGAATAGTGCTGCAATAAACAAATATGTGCATGTGTCTTTATAGTAGAATGATTTATAATCCTTTGGGTCTATACCCAGTAATGGTATTGCTGAGTCAAATGGTATTTCTGGTTCTAGATTCTTGAGGAATCCCCATACTGTCTTCCACAGTGGTTGAACTAATTTACACTCCCACCAACAGTGTAAAAGCATTCCTATTTCTCCACATCCTCTCCATCATCTGTTGTTTCCAGACTTTTTAATGATTGCCTAACTGGCGTGAGATGGTATCTCATTGTGGTTTTGATTTGCGTTTCTCTAATGACTAGTGATGATGAGCTTTTTTTCATATGTTTGTTGGCTGCATAAATGTCTTCTTTTGAGAATTGTCTGTTCATATCCTTCGCCCACTTTTTGATGGGGTTGTTTTATTCTTGTAAATTCGTTTAAGTCCCTTGTAGATTATGGATATTAGCCCTTTGTCAGAAGGATAGATTGCAAAATTTTTCTCCCATTCTGCAGGTTGCCTGTTCACTCTGATGATAGTTTCTTTTGCTGTGCAGAAGCTCTTTAGTTTAATTAGATCCCATTTGTCAATTTTGGCTTGTGTTGCCATTACTTTTTGTGTTTTGGTCATGAAGTCTTTGCCCATGCCTATGTCCTGAATGGTATTGCCTAGGATTTCTTCTAGGGTTTTTATGGTTTTATGTCTTAGGTTTAAATATTTAATCCATTTTGAGTTAATTTTTGTATAAGGTGTAAGGAAGGGTTCCAGTTTCAGTGCAGAGTTTTACATATGAATGCTATTTGTTTAATAAATACAGGATCTTTCAGTTTATCAGTTGTTCTTGAGCGAACTTTGGCAATTTGTGTCTTTCAAGGAATTTGTCTATTTCTCATAAGCTGTCAATTTATAGGCATATAACTGCTCATAAAATATTTTAATTTTATTTATTTAATCTTGAAGGTATGCAAGAATAATTCATATTCTGTGCTATTATTTATACTTGAAAGCTCCTTCACTGTTAACTTGGGCAGTCTGGCTGGAAGTTTCTGATTTTATTTATCTTGTCAAAGAACCAGCATTTGGTTTCATTGATTTTTGTACATTTTTTATCTATGCTCAGTTTTGTTGATTTCTGCCCATGTTCCCTCTTTTTCTACTTGCATAGAATCTTTATAATTTTTTTCTAATTTCTTATGCTAGAACATTAGATAGTCATGGGATTTTTTTTCAAATATAAGCATTGAATATTACAATTTCCCTGCAAACAGTGTTTTAGCTACATCTCACACACTTTAATATTTTGTGTTTATATTTTTATTTGATATGAGCTACTTTCTCATTTTCTTTCTGAGCTCTTATTTAACCAACGGTATCAGGGGAAATTCACCCCCGATATTTCACGTGGGTTCTTATCTATTTTCCCTAAGTGTCAGCCAGTCTGAGAAATAAAGGGAAAGAGTACAAAAGATAAATTTTAAAGCTGAATGTCCAGGGGAGACATCACATGTCAGCAGGTTCTGTGATGCCCACTGAGCCGTAAAACCAGCAAGTTTTTATTAGCAATTTTCAACGGGAAGGGAGTACACGAATAGGGTGTGGGTCACAGAGATCACATGCTTCAAGAGCGACAAAAGATCACAAGGCAGAAGGTCAGGGCAAAACTAGAATCAATAATGAAATTTCATGTCCCTCTGTGCATGCATTGTCAGAGTTCAAGAGCAGAGAACCAGTCTGACTAGAATTTGCCAGGCTGGAATTTCCTAATCCTAGCAAGCCTGGGGGCACTGCAGGAGACTAGGGCATGTTTCATCCCTATCTGCATCTGCATAAAGGCAGACACTCCCAGGGTGGCCATTTTAGAGGCCACACCCTGGGAATGCATTCTTTTCCCAGGGCTGCTAATTATTAATATTCCTTACCGGGCAAAGAATTCAGCCAAAATTATCTTACCCATTTTTGGTAATAAGAGAAATATGGCTCTGAATTGCCCTGCCCACAGGCAGCCAGACTTTAAGGTTATCTCCCTTGTTCCCTGAACATCACTGTTATCCTGTTCTTTTTTCAAGGTGTCCAGATTTCATATTGTTTAAACAATCTGTGCAGTTAACACAATCATCACAGGGTCCTGAGGTGACATTCATCCTCAGCTTACGAAGATGATGGGATTAAGAGATTAAAGACAGGCATAGGAAATCACAAGAGTATTGATTGGGAAAGTGATAAATGTTCATGGAATCTTCACAATTTGTGTTCAGAGATTGCAGTAAAGACAGACATAAGAAATTATTAAAGTATTAATTTGGGGAACTAAGAAATGTCCATGAAATCTTCACAATTTATGTTCTTCTACCATGGCTTCAGCCGGTCCCTCCTTTCGGGGTCCCTGATTTCCCGCAACACAATGGATTATTTACAATTTTGTTGTTTAATATTCAAATATAATTTTACTCTGATAATTTTAAAATCTGTTTCGAGTTTTTATATAATTCAGTAACATACTTTCTAGGTTTTAAATTTTTTGAACTTCTTTTATCTCATTATCTGGACATGGTCCATATTTGTGACCATTTTCACATGGGGGAGCTCCCAAAGTGGATATCCCAGTAGTGTAGGATGGCTGTCTAGGAGTCTGTACTGAGGATACTTATAAACAGTTTGTTCCACAGGTATCCTCAGTACAGACTCCCATATGAAAATGGTGGCACTCAATAGAACTGATACAAGCCTGGGCTCAAGGAGCCATCTAGTGCCAAAAAGAAGAGAGAAATATAGCAGAAGAAAATGAGAAGAAAGAAAAGAAAGGAAGGAAGGAAGGAAAATTTTAAAGAATTTCTAAAAAATATATTCAATAAAATCAAATAAGCCAGAAAGAGAAGACTGAAATAAATAAATAATACAAAAATAAAAAGGTATAGATGTACATCCACAAGAAACAACAACAAACAGGGAACCATGGGCTCCCCAAACAGACAAAGCAAGGAACCTTTGTCAGACCCTAATGAGGCTGTAATATTTGAACCCTCTGACCAATAATTCAAAATAGCAGTTTTTGATTGAAAAAAAAAATAGCACAGAAAGGCAATTAAAAATTTGTCAGATAAATTTAACAAAAATATTGGAATAATTCTTTAAAAATCAACCAGAAAGCTTGAAACTAATAAATAAATTTGCTGAACCTGAAAATTCCTTGGAGACTCAACATCACAATAAATCAAGCACACAAGTGAATCAGTGAGCTTGAAGTCTAGCTCTTGGAAAATATACAGTTGGGGGGGAAAATGAGGAATCAAAAGGAATCAAAATTGCTTACAAAATATAGAAAATTATCTCAAAAGACTAAATTTAAAAATATTGGTGTCAAGAGGGAGTTCAGATAGAGGGTAGAAAGCTTATTTGAAGAAGTAATGGCAGAAAACTTTCAAGTGCTTGAGAAAAAGATTAATATCCAGATACAAGAAGGTCAGGTAAAAAAAAACACTAGATCACAAAAAGGCTATGACAAGGCAAAAAATACTCAAATCAGAAAGATCACGAACAAAGAGACAATGCTAATAATGTAAGAGAAAAGAAGCAAATAACATAATGGAGCTCTAATTCTTCTGGAAACAGATTTCTCAATGAAAATCAAACAGGCCAGGAGGAGGTGAGACAATGTTTTCCAAGTGCTGAAAGAAAAAAAAAAAAAAAAACTGTTATCCAAGAATACTGCATCCAGCAGAGTGACACTTGAAATATGAAAAAGAGATAAAGTCTTACTAAGATAAACAAGGGCTGAGAGAATACACCACCACCAGATCCATCTTACAAGAAATGATTAGTGGAGTTTTTCAGTTTGGAAGAATAAAACACTAATGTATAAGAAAACAAAAAAAAAATTTAAAGATATAAAACCTAATAGAAAAATTAAGTACACAGGGAAATCCATTATACACTACTACTGTAATTGGGGTGTGCCATCCAGTTATAACTTTAGTATGAAGCCCAAAAGACAAACCTATCGTAAACATTAATAGCTATAGAATCTGTTTAGTAATAAGCAATAAGAAAATATGTAAATTGAGACAAAATAAAGTCAAAATGTAGGACAGATGAAGTTAAAATGTAGAGTTTATTGTTTCATATGTTTGTTTCTAATCTTTTCTTTCTAATATGTTAATTTGTCATCTTTGTAATATAACATTATTCTTATAAGACATTGTTTGTAAGCCTTATGGACATAACAGTGGATAACCTTATAATAGATTCACTGAAAGAAATGAAAAAATTAAAACCTACTGCTGTAGAAAATCACCTAACAACAAAGAAAGTTACTAAGAAAGAAAGAATAAGAGAACTTACAAAATGAGAAAACAGGCAAGATAATAGCAATATTAAGTACTTATTCATCAGTAACAATGAATGTAAATTGACTCAATTATCTTGTTAAAAGGCACACAGTGGCTGAATGAATTGATAATAAAGCAACAAGATCCAGCGATGTATTACCTACAAGAAATCCACTTCACCAATAAAAACCCACATAGACTGAAAGCAAGGGAATGGAAAAAGATATTCCATGCATCAGGAACATAAGAAAGAGACTGGGTAGCTACGATTATATCAGCTAAAGTAGACTACAAATGAATGACTGTTGAAAGAGACAAATAAGGGTATTAAATAATGATAATGGAGTCAATTCATCAAGACAAAATAACAATTATAAACACTTATGTACACAACACCAGAGTTCCCAAGTACATAAAGCAAATTTAATAAATATAAAAAGAGAGATAAACTGCAATACAGTAATAGTATGGAAATTCAACACCCAATTCTCAGTAATGGAGAGATTATGCAGGCACAAAATCAACAAAGATAAATTGGAGTTCACCTACTCACTATACCAAATAAGCGTAACTGTCATTTGTAGAACATTTCATCCAATTGCTGGAGAATACACATTCTTTTCACCAGCACTTGAAACACTCCCAGGAATAGACACTATCTTAGGCCACACAACAAATCTCAACTAATTAAAAAATGTAGAGATCAAATCAAACATCCACTGTGGTCTTTATTGACCACAATGTATTAAAAATAAAAATCAACAAGAAAGGCAGCCTGTAAAGAGACACCAACACATGGACATTAAACAACATGTTTCTGAATAACCAATGGTTCAATAAAAATATTAAGAAGAAAATTAAACAAACTCTTGAAACAAATGAAAATACAAAATACCAAAATCAGTGAAATAGAACAGAAACATTACTAAGAGAGAAGTTTACAGCAATAAATGTTTATTTAGAAATAGTAGGAAGACTTTAAATAAACCACCTAGTAAAGATCATCAAGGAACTAAAAAAGAAAGGCAGGGTGTGGTGGCTCATGCTTGTAATCTCAGCAGTTTAGGAGGCCAAGGCGGGCGGAGCACTTGAGGTCCAGAGTTTGAGACCAGCCTGGCCAACATGGCAAAACGCTGTCTCTACTAAAAATTCAAAAATTAGCCAGGCATGGTGGTGCCCACCTGTAATCTCAGCTACTTCAGAGGCTGAGGCAGGACAATTGCTTGAACCGAGGAGGTTGAAATTGCAGTAAGCTGAGATAATGCCACTGAACTCCAGTCTGGGAAGCAGAGAAAGGCTCTGTCTCAAAAAAAAAAAAAAAAAAAGGGGGTCGGGGGGACTAGAAAAGGAAAAACAAACCAAACTCTAAATTAGCATAAGGACAATTTTTTTAATGAAGCAGAAATAAATGAAATTGAGACTAAAACAACAATACAGAAGATAGATAGACAAAAATAAAAGTTTTAAAAGGCAATAAAATTGACAGACTTTACCTGGAATAACTAAGTAAGAAAGAGAGAATTCCAAAATAAACAAAATCAGATACAAAATAAGAGATTTGATAACAGATCACAGAAATAAAAAGAATCCTTAGAGACTATTATGAATAACTAACTATACACCATCATATTAGAAAACCTAAAATAAATGAATAACTATACACCAACAAGTTAGAAAACCTAAAATAAGTGAATAAATAAATGCCTGGACACAAAAACTACCAAAATTGAACCTTAAAGAAGTAGAAAACCTCAATTAACCCTAATGAATAACATGATTAAAGCCTAAGGAAGTCTCCCATCAAAGAAAAGCACAGAACTTAATCGCTTCAATGCTTAATTCTACCAAACATTTAAAGAAGAATTAATACAAATTCCAGTTAATATTTTCAAAACTATTGACAAGAAAGAAATACTTTCATATGCATTCTACAAGGCCAATATTACTGTGATACTAAAACCAGAGACAGGTACAAGAAAAAAAGAAAACTATAGGCCAATATCACTGATGGACACATGCCGAGTCCTCCCGCAGACCCTGGCAGAGCAACGGATGAAAGCCGTATGCAGACACAGATATTTTTACCTGATAGCCCGGCTAAGGGACTGCACTGCTTGGCACCCTCCAATGAGAGTGCAGCATCGCTAACGATGTAAGTGCAGCCCCAATAAGCTGGAGCCATTTGCATTTATTTAGTACAGACATAATGAAAAAGGCCTGGAGCAAACACAATTTGTCAGTAATTAACATTGCTGACTCCCTGAGTAGAGAGCAATCCTGTGCGTGAATGATCAAAGGTTGGTTTCCAGAGACATAAGTAAACCAATTTACCTAGATAAGTTTCTTTACATTCCCTTGTTATGTACCCGTTGCCCTCTGCATCAGGGTAAGAGAATTAGCCACCTTCAGCTTAAATTCTCTACTGACGCTTTTGAAAACCCTCCTGGCCTTCCAAGAAGGTTTCCGTCTTTCCCTGTAATTCTTCCCACCACCCTGACCAATCTCCTACAGACATAGATCCAAAAATCCTCAACATAATACTAGCGAATTAAATTCAACAACAAATTAAAAACACCATTCACATGATCAAACGGGATTCATTTCAGGGATGAAACACTGTTTCAACATATGCAAATTAATAAATGTGATACATTAAATTAACAGAACTAAGAACAAAAATCATATGATTCTATCAATAGATCCTTAACAAGCATTTAATAAAAAATCAACAACTCTTTATGATTAAAAAAATATTTGACAAACTAGGAATAGAAAGAACTAACCTCAAAGTAATAAAGGTCACTTATGATAAACCACAGTTAACATCATAATGAATCAGAAAAAAAATTGAAAGCCTTTCCTTTAAGATATGGAGCAAGACAAGGATGCTAACTTTCACCCCTTTTTTTTCAACATAATACTGGTAGTGCTGGCCAGAGCAATTAGGCAGGAGAAATAAATAAAGGGCATCAAAATTGGAAAGAAAGAAGTCAAATTGGCTTTATTCACAGACAATATAATCTTATAGTTAGGAAAACCTAAAGACTCCACCAAAAACTCTTAGAAATGATAAACACATTTTGTAAAGTTGCAGGATACAAAATCAACATTCAAATATTAGTATCATTTATATATAACAACAGTGAACAATATACAAATGAAATAAAAAGAAATCCCATTAAAAATAGATACAAAGAATATAAAATACCTAGAAATCAATCTAGCCAAAGAAATGCTAGATCTATACAAAGAAAACTACAAAATGAAAGAAATTAAAGAAGATGCACAAAAAATGAAAGCCATGCTTATATACTGAAAGATTTAGTATATTTAAAATAACAACCTGACCTCACAGTAAATTACAGATTCAATGAATTTTCTACCAAAATATCAATGACATTCTTTACAGAAATAGAGAAAGAACTTCTGTAATTTATGTGGAACCACAAACAATCCAAATAGCTAAAGCAATCCTGAGCAAAAAGAAAAAAGCTTTAGGCATCAAACAACCTGACTTCAAAATATACTGCAAAGCTGTAGTTACCAAATCAAAATGGTATTGTCACCTAAACAGACACATAGACCAATTGACAATTGACAATCCACAGATAAGTCTATGCAGTTTTACAAACCAACTAATTTTGACAAAAGTGCCAAGAACATACAATGGGAAAAAGGCAATGTCTTTAGTTATTGGTGCTGGGAAAACTGGATAACCATTTGAAAAATAGTAACTCTGGATCCATATCTCTCAAAATATGCAAAAACTTAATGAAAATAGTTAAAACTTATATTTAAGAGCTGAAATCATAAAACTCTTAGAAGAAAACCAAGAAATGTTCCAAGATGTTGATCTTGGTCAATGTTTTTTGTGTATAAACTCAAAATCACAGGCAACAAAACCAAAAATAGATAAATGGGATAACATCAAGCTATAAAACTTCTGCACAGCAAAGGAAATAGTAACAAAGTGAAGAGACAACTCAAGAATGAGAGAAAACCTTTGCAAACTATTTAATTAATAAGGCATTAGTCATCAGAACATATAAAGGTTAAACAACCCAATAGCAATAAATCAATCAAATTTAAAATGAGCCGAATATTTGAATATACATTTCTTAGAAGAGAAAAAGCAAATGGCCAACAGTTATATTTAAAAATGCCATCACTAATTATCAGAGAAATGCAAATTAATACCACAATGAGATGCCATTTCACCTGAGTTAAAATAGCTTTTATCAAAAAGATAAGGAGTAACAGATTCTGGCAGGGGTGTAGAAAAAGGGGCAGCCTCATATACTGTTAGTGGGAATGTGAACTGGTACAGCCACTATGGAAAACTCAGTGGAAGTTCCTCAAAAACTAAAAATAGAACTACCATATGACCCAACAACTCCACTACTGGGTATATAACCAAAAGAAGGGAAATTCATATATCAAAGAGATATAAGCACTGCCACCATTATTGTAGCATTATTCACAATAGCCAAAATATGCAATCAGCCTAAATGCTCATTAGTGGAAGAATAGAAAAAGAAAATGTGACACACACACACATAAACACACACACACATATATGTGTGTGTGTGTTTATATGTGTGTGTATATACATATATACACAATAAAATATAGATATATATATATGTATATACACACACAATGGAATATTATTCATCATTAAAAAGAATGAAATCCTGTCTTTTGCAGCCACACGGATGAGACTGCATGGATGGTGGCCATTATGTTAAGGGAAATAAGCCAAGTGCAGAATGGCAAATACTGCATGTCCTAACTCATATGTGGGAGGTAAAAAAGTGAATCTTATGCAGATAAAGAGTAGACTGCTGTTTACCAGAGTTTGGGAAGAGTAGGGGTAAGAGTAGTTGAAGAGAAATTGATTAACAGGTACAAATATACAGTCTGATAAAACAAATAAGATCTAGTGTCTTATAGATAATTAGGGTGACTGTAGTTTTCAGTAATCTGTTGTATATTTCAAAATAGCTGGAACAGAATAATTAAAAATTTGTTGTAGTATGAAAAGAAAAATATTTAAGGTGATAGGGTTCCTAATTACACTGATTTGACCTTTATAAATTATAAGAATATATTGAAATATCATACATACCCTGACAATATGTATATCAATTATGTATCAATAAAAACAAATAAAGAAATATTTTCTTGTTGCACTGGCTTTCAGAATTTTGGCCATAACATGTCTTGGCATTTTGTCAGGTTTTTCTGCTTAATGTTCATTTACTTTCTTAGTCCTGTGAGTATATAATTCTTATCAAATCTTAAAAATTTTATTAATTAATTCTTCTAAGTTTTTGCCAACTCTCTTCCTTTTGGGAGTGCAACTTGGTATATGTAGGGCCTTTTTCTCCAAGGCGATTGATGGTTCATTTATATTTTCTTAATATATTTTCTGTCTTTTTTTCATTTTGAATAACTGTGGACTTTGTCATCAAGTTTATCTGTTTGTCTCCAATTTCTAATATGTTATTAATACAGTTGTTGCTTTTTTTCAGTTAAGATAATTATTTAATCTCTAGACTTCTCACTTAGGTCTTTGTTGTAGTTTCTGCATATCTCATAAACATTTTAATGTTGTACTCTGATAGTTTCTGTCATCTCTATCATTTATGGGTTTGTTCACATTCATTAAAATTTCTCTAATTTATTGTTATATCATATTGCTTCTTTGCTTCCCTGGTAATTTTTCATTAATGCTTAACAGTTTTGATTTTACGTTGCTCCTTGAAGTGTTTTAAAAAAAATTCCCATGTATAATTTTGGACATTCTTTTGGTGCACATGACCCTTAGAATAAGCATATTTTTTCAGTGTTTGCCTTTAAGGTTTGTTAGAATACATCCAGGGAAACCTTTAGTCTAGGGCTAATTTCTCCCTACCACTAAAGTGTTAGCTCTTTGCATATTCTACGCAACCCTCTGTATTTTATGAGGCCTTCCTGTTTCAGCTGGTGGGGCCACAAATTATTGCTAGCAATTTAAGAACTCTGAATTGTTCTCTGTCTTCTTTATGGTAATTCTTTCCCTACATTCAGAGTTTTCTCTCACTAAGATCTGTACTTAGCCAACAACTCGATGATATCTTGCACATATATTTGAGTTTTCTAACTGTGTAGTTGCATCCCCTCTAGTACTCGGTCCACAAATTCTAGCCACCAAAGACTCCTCAAACTACGATCAATTTTTTTCTTTTTAGTTTTTAAAAATTGAACATAGTAATTACACATATTAATAAAACACAGTCATATTTTTATACATACAATGTTTAATGATCAAATTAGTGTACCTAGCATATCCATCACTTCAAAATTTATTATTTCTTGTATTAGGAACATTAAAAATATTTTCTTCTGTTTGAAAATATATAATAAATTATTGTTAACTATAATGTTCCTACAGTGCTGCAAAATGCTAGAAATTTTTTCTCCTATCTAGCTGTAATTTTGTGCCCTTTAATCAATCTTTTCCCATCCTCTTTCCCCTCAGCCTCTAGTAACCATTTTCTACTCCCTAATGCTATGAGATCAAGTTTTTTTCTTCCACAGTAGGGTAAGAAAATGCAATATTTACTTTTCTGTATGCAGCTTATTTCACTTAATATAATTTTCTCCAAGCTCATCTTTATTGCTACAAATATCATGATTTCTATTTTTTTATGGCTGAATAGTATTCCATTGTGTGTATATACCACATTTTCTTTACCCATTTATCTGCTGATGGACACTTTAGATTGATTTCCTATCTTGGCAATTGTGAATAAAGCTGTAATAATCATGGGGGGCAAATATCACTTTGATAGATCGATTTTCTTTTACTTCGATATAGGCCCGGTGGTGGGATTGCTGAATCATATGGTAGGTCTATTTCTAGTTTTTGGAGGAATTTCCATGTTGTCCTCCAAAATAACTTTACCAGTTTACATTTTCACTAACAGAGTATAAATGTTCCCTTTTTTCTACACCCATATCAGCATTTCTTATTTTTGGTGTTTCTGATATTTTTGATGACAGTTATTCTAATTAGGGTCACATGATATCCCATTATGGTTTTGATTTGCATTGCTCTTATGAATAGTGATGCTGAGCATTTTTTTCATATGTTTGTTGGACATTTTTATGCATTCCTTTGAGAAATGTCTCTAGATCATTTGCACATTTAAAAATCAGATTATTGTTATTATTATTATTGCTATCATTTGAGATCCTTGCATATTCTAGACATTAATTTCCTCTGAGGTGAATAGTTTGCAAATACATTCTCACATTGTGTAGGTTGTCTCTTTACTCTGTCAATTGTTTGCTCTGCAGAAGCACTTTAGTTTGACATAAACCATTTTTATGGTTTTGCTTTTATTTCCTGTGCTTTTCAGATCTAAACCATGAAATTTTTTCTCACATCACTGTCCCGAAGCACTCCCACTATTTTCTTCTAGTGGTTTTATATAGTTTTGAATCTTGCATTGTGTCTTTAATCAAATTTGATTTTATTTTTGTATATGGTGAAATATTGGTATCTAGTTTCATAATTCTGCATATGGTTATCTAGCTTTCCCCACATCATTTATTAAAGGGACTATATTTCTCCATTTTATGTTTTTAGTGTCCTTGTCAAAAATCTGTCTGCTGCAAAAACATGGATTTATTTCTGGGTTTTATAGTCTGTTTCATTGGTGTACGTGTCTGTTTTTGTTAGCGCCACGCTGTTTTGGTTACTTTAGTTTTACAGCATATTTTGAAATCTCATAGTGTGATGGCTCTAGCTTTGTTCTTTTTGCTTACGATTGCTTTGGTTATTCTGGGTCTTTTGTATTCTATATTAATTTTAGAATACATTTATTTCTATTTTTGTGAAGGATGAGAACAGTATGTTTATAGAGATAGTATTGAGTCTGTAAAACACTTTGGATACTATTGTCATTTTAACAATATTAACTGTTTCAGACTATTAACATGTGATGTCTTTCCATATTTTTTTGAGTCCTCTTGAATTTCTTGCATTAGTATATTTTAGTTTGTTTGTAGAGATCTTTTACTACCTTAAATTTATTCCTAGGCTTTCTTTTAAGTCATTGCAAATGAGATCGCTTTATTAATTTGTTTTCAGCTAGTCGATGGTATATGGAAACACTATTAATATTTGTAGGCCGATTTTTTTATTCTGTAACTTAACTGAATGTATTTATCAGTTCTAACAGTTTTTTGGTCGTGTCTTTAGGTTTTCCTATATATAAAATTATGCCATCTGAAAAAGGGGCTAATTTTACTGCTTTCTTTCCAAATTGAAAGTCTTTTATTTATTTCTCTTGCCTAATTGCCTTGGCTAAGACTTCCAGTACTACATTGAATAAGAGTATTGAGACTGGGAGTATTAGTCTTGTTCCAGTTCTCAGCAAAAAAACCATTCAGCCTTTCTCCATTTAGCATGATGTTAGCTGTGGGTTTATCATAAATGGATCTTATTGTGTTTAGTTATGTTCCTTCTATACCTAATTTGTTGAACATATTTATCATAAAGTTTTATTGAATTTTATCAGATGCTTTTTTCTACATCAACTTAGATGATCATATGTATTTCATACTTCATTCTGTTGATCTGAGGTATTATGTTTATTGATTAGTGTTTGCTGGACCATTCTTATATCCCATAGGTTAATCCTTTTTCATGTGTTGTTCAATTTAATTTGCTACATTTAAATCATTTTAAATGAGCCGTTACATTTATTATTTGTTTGAGGTTTTTTTTTCATCAATGTTTTTCAAAGATACTGATATTAGATCCTGGGGTTTTCTTTTATGGGAGACTTTTTATTACTGCTTCAATTGTATTACTTGTTACTTGTTTCTGAGATTTTTCTGTTTTTTCATGGTTCACTCTTGGTAGGTTGCATGTGTCTAGGAACTTACTCATATCATCTTTTTAGGTTTTAAAAAGTCTATTTATCAAGTTTTTCAAAACTCTTTGATTTGTTCATCTTCTGTATTATCTTACTCAATTTCATTGTTTTTTTCTCTGATCTTTACTATTTCTTCCCTTCTACTAATTTTGGGTTTGGTTTGGTCTTGTTTTCCTAGTTCCTTGAGGTATGGTGTGTCATTAAGTTGGTTATTTTAAGTCTTTCTATATTTTTATGAAGATGTTTATTATCATAAAACTTTCTTTTCAAACTGCTTTTACTGTATGCCTAAGATTTTGATTTTTTTTCATTTGAATTTGTCTGAAGAATATTTCCAATCTTAGCTTTTTTTTTTTCATTGAACCATTCATTGTTCAGGAGAATGTTGTGTAATTTTTATGAATTTTCCATTTCCAACTTTCTTGTTACTGATTTTTAGTTTCATTGCAATATGATTAGAAAAAAATACTTGATATATATTTTATCTTAAAAAATTGTTAAGGATTACTTTGTTACTTAATATATGTTGTATCTTGGGGAATGTTCCATGTGCTGTTGAGAAAAATTTATATTCTGCCATGGTTAGATGAACTATCTTGTAAATATTTATTAGGTTCCTTTTGTCTAGAGTATAGTCTAAGACTGATAATTTCTTTAATGATTACATCTGTCTGGATGTTCTCTACATTAAGTGGAGAGATGGCGTTGCCTACTATTATTGTATTGCAGTTAATCTCTCCATTTAGTTCAATTAATGTTTGTTTTATGTATTTGGGTGCTCTAGTGTGAGATGCATATATATTTACAATTGTATTATCTTACGGTATTGACTGCTTAATCATTATGTAATGACCTTTTATTGTTATTAAGATAAAGTCTATTTTATATTATAAAACATGTACTCCCACTCTTTTTATGTTTTCCATTTGTTAAGAAACATCTTATATCCCTTCACTTACAGTCTGTATCTGTCATTATAGGTGATGTGAGTTCCTTTTAGAGAGCATAGTTGGGCCTCTTTTTGTTTTTATTCAGTAAACCACTCTATGTCTTTCAATTGAAGAATGTAATCCATTTGTATTTAGGGTAACTATTGATAGGTACTGATTTACTACTACCATAATGTCACTCATTTTCTGACTGTTTTATCGTCTTTTTTCCTTCCTTGTTCTATTACTATCTTTCTTAGTGGCTGATTTTCTCTAGTGATATGTTTTGATTCTGTGCTATTCATTTTTAGCTTATCCATTACAGATTTTTGGTTTGTAGTTACCGTGAGGCTTACAAAAAATTTTATAATAGATTATTTTAAAATGATAACATCTTTAATCACAACAAAAGGAAAACTATCAAAAACAATCTCTAATACTACTTGTATCCACATTTTTATAGCTGTTTAAATTTTCATTTATTGTATTTCCTATCTTTTAACCAATTTTTGGAGTTATGGTTGATTTTAATAGTTTAGTATTTTAGTCTCCATATTTAAGATATAAGTGGTTTAATTTCCCTGATTTCAGTATTAAAACATTCAGAATTTGTCTTCTGTTTATTTTGCCAATAATTTTAATGCCTTGAAATATTTTCTTGTAACACATTAGCATATTTTTTTACATTGATGTATTTCTTATAAAACAGGTATAATATTGTTGAATTCCCTCAGATTTTGTTTTCTAGGAAAGGCTATCTCTTATTCATGCTCGAAGGACAGCTTTGCTAAGTACCACATTATGAATTGGCAGATTTTTTTTTCTTTATTATTTTGAATATACCATTTCATTCTCTCCTGGCCTGCAGGGTTTTTACTGAAAAATCTGCCAAATATCATAGTGGGATTCTGTTGAATGTTATATGTTTCTATTCTTTTGCTGATTTAAATATTCTTTTGTCTTTGATTTTTGCTAATTTGATTGTGATGTGCCTCAGGAATATCCTCTTTCAGTTGAGTTTTACTGGTGGCTCCTTAGATTCCTGTGCCTGAATGGTGTTGCCTTTCTCCATATTTGGAAAATTTTCAGATACTTTTTTTTTTTTTCGAGACAGAGTCTCACTCTGTCAAACAAGCTGGAGTGCAGTGGCATGATCCTAGGCTCAGGTGATTCTCCTGCCTCAGCCTCCCAAGTAACTGGGATTACGGGCGTCTGCCGCCACATCTGGATAATTTTTGTATTTTTAGTAGAGATGGGTTTTCACCACATTGACGAGGCTGGTCGCGAACTCCTAACCTCAAGTAATCCACCTGCTTTGGACTCCCAAAATGCTGGGATTATAGGCATGAGCCACTGCATCTGGCCATGACACTTTTCTTTCCATATTTTTCTTTCTTTCTTTCTTTCTTTCTTTCTTTCTTTCTTTCTTTCTTTCTTTCTTTCTTTCTTTCTTTCTTTGCTTCTTTCTCTTTCTTTTTTTAATGGAGTCTTGTTCTCATAGCCCAGACTGGAGTGCAATGGCACAATTTTGCCTGACTTCAACCTCCACCTCCTGGGTTCAAGTGATTCTCCTGCCTCAGCCTCCCTAGTAGCTGGGATTCCAGGCAACTGCCACAATGGCCAGCTAATTTTTGTATGTTTAGTAGAGACGGGGTTTCACCACGTTGGCCAAGCTGGTCTCAAGCTCCTGACCTCAGGTGATCCACCTGCCTTGGCTTGCCAAATTGCTGGGATTATAGGCATGAACCACCACACCCAACTGACACATTTTTTAAAAAATATGCTTTCTATGCCTTCCTCACTTTTTTCTTCTTTTTTATCTTTATTCCTCTGATTAAATAATTTTGTATGTGTTGTCTTCAAGCTCATTAATTCTTTCCTGTTTTCTCACATCTTCTGTTAAAGCTTTCTAATGAGTTTTCCAGTTCAGTTATCATATTCTTTATTTCATGGATTTCATTAATTTTTTTCTATTTCTTTGTTAAATGTCTAATTTGTTCTTGGGTTATTTTCCAATTTTACTTTTTTTCTATTCACATTTTCTTGTGATTACTTGAACTTCCTTAAGCAGATAATTCTTAAATCTCTGACATTTCATAAATGTTAATTTTGGGGGGGTCCATAAATGGAGACTGGTCAGTTTCATTTTTGGGTTTTTTTTTGTGGTATTTTATTTCTCTAGTTTCCACAGTCTTCCCATCTTTATGTGGATGCCTATGCCTTTAAGGAGACAGTGACCTCTTCCAGTTTTTTTAAGTTTTCTTTAGTCATGTTAGATCTCTACTACTAGGTATGGAAACTTAAAGGCTTGGCTGTTGTTTCTTCCCAATCTAGGGAGAATTTAGAGTGAGCACCAGGAGTAAAAGCCTGCACTGAAACTAACTGGTTTCTCTGCCCTTGTTTCCCAATCAGTGGCCAACCTATAGTGAACATCAAAATCTTAAAAACTGCTCTGGAACTAATTTGCTGCCCTCCCATAGGTTCTCAGTTTAAGAAAGACTCGTAGGAAACACCTGGAGTAAACTGCTGCCCTGGCACTATATTGCTGCCCTCTCATTGTTTTCCACTGTGGAGAGGACTTAAGCAGACATTGGACTTTAACTCTGACCTTTTAGTTGTTTCTGGGCCAGACTAATTCTCCACAAACACTCTGTGAAAAATCCAGCCAAGGATTTGGACCTTCTCATTGATTGCATTCCCTGAAGCATTGTTGTGATCAGACTGTCTCTTGAATGTGATGTCCTCACAAATTAGATGACAGAGTAGCCACCATAATTTACACATCAGTCATTGCAATCCAGCTCTATAACATTTATCTCCAATTTACCCTAGGTGGTCCAGCACTGCTGGCACTCCCAAAGGTTCCTGTGGAGTGGGACAAAAGAGGATTTCCCACAAAGATTTTCAGACTGATGGGTAGACTGAATGCCAAGCTCCAGTTCCCTCTTCTTGCCTTGTATGCCGTGTATAAAGAAAAATTCTCTGCGAGTTCCCTGATAGCAGTCTGGGGAAGGACATGGTGCGATCTGGAATGACCATTTCTCCTATTAGATTAGACATCTCTCAATTCTGTTTACCCAGGGGATTTCTTAACTCTACCCTGAATTCTGATTAACTCGAGGTAGTATTTTTGTCTTTGAATAGTTTCTAGTTTCGTGTGTGTGAGAGAGAGAGGGATAATGCCAACAGACCTGATCCATTATCTTGCTGACATCACTTTTCAATACTCTCTTGACTGGTATAACTTTGTAATATAGTGTGACAGCAGAAAGTGTAGTGCCTCTATATTTGTTTTTCTTTATCAAGATGGATTTAGCTATTCAGGGTCTTTTGTAGTTCTATGTAAGTTTGGGAATTTTTTTTCTAAATCTGTGAAGAACGTGCTTGGAATTTTGGTAGCTATTGCATTGAATCTGTACATTTCTTTGTGCAGTGTGGACATTGTAACAATATTAACTTTTCTGACCTATGAGCATGGATATCTTTCCACTTATTGTTTCTTTTGAAATTATAGTCATACATCACTTAGCAGAAGGATAGAATCTGAGAAATGCAATGCTAGGCAACTTTGTTGTGTGAACATCATGAATTGTACAGTTGCCTCTTGAACAACACAGGTCTATTTTGCATGAATTTTCTTTAACTTCTGCCACCACTGAGACTGCAAGAACAAACCTTCCTCTTCTTCCTGCTCCTCAGACTATGAAACTTGAAGAGAAAAAGGATAAATAACTATCTGATAATCTACTTCCATTTAATAAATAAATGTATTTGATCTTTCCTATAATTTTCTTTAAAAAATAATTTTATTTCAAATTTTTGTGGGTACATAGTAGGTGTATATATTTATGGGATATGTGAGATATTTGGATACAGGAATGTAATGTGTAATAATCACATCAGGAAAAATTGGGTATCTATCACCTAAAGCAGGCTATGCCAAACTCAGGCTATGATTGTGTTCTGGTCCGTAGTCTGTTTAGAACCAGGTCTCACCGCAGGAGTTGAACAGCGGGTGAGCAAGCATTACTGCCTGATCTCTGCCTCCTGTCAGATCAGCAGTAGCATTAGATTATCATAGGAGCACAAACCCTATTGTGAACTGCACATGTGAAGGATCTATGTTGTGTGCTCCTTATGAGAATCCGACTAATGCCTGATGATGTGAGGAGGGACAGATTCATCCTGATACCATCTTCCCTCTCAGCCTCGGTCCATGGAAAATTTGTCTTCCAAGAAAACAGTCCCTGATGCCAAAAAGGTAGGTGACCACTGACCTAAAGCATTGATTTTTTCTTTGTTTATATACAATCCAATTACACTATTTCAGTTGTTGTAAAATATACAATTATTATTGACTATAGTAACCCTGTTGTGCTACCAAATACTAGATCTTATTCTATTTAACTTCATTTTTGTACCCATTAACCATTCCACTTCTCCTCCCCACTACTATTCCCAGTCTCTGCTAACCATCATTCTCCTCTCTATCTCCATTAGTTCAATTGTTTAAAATTTTAGCTCTCACAAATAGTGAGAAAATGGGAAGCTTGTCTTTCTGTAGCTGGCTTAATTCACTTAGCATAGTGACCTCTATTTCTGTCCATGATGTTGCAAATGACTGGATCCCATTCTTTTTTATGGCTGAATAGTACTCCATTGTGTATACATGCCACATTTTATTTCCTCAGTCCCCTGTTGATGGACATGTAGGTTGCTTCCAAATATTGGCTATCGTTAATTGTGCTGCAATAAACATGGGAGTGAAGATACTGCTTCAGATACCTAGCAGTAAAATTGCTGGATCATATAGTAACTATATTTTCAGTTATTTAATTAACCTCAAATCTGCTCTCCATAGTTGTTGTACTAATTTACATTCTCAAGAAGAGTGTACAAGGGTTATCTTTTCTCTGCATCTTTATCAGAATTTGTTATCACCTCACATTTGGATAAAAGTCATTTTAACTGGAGTGTGATGATATCTCATTTTAGTTTTGATTTGCATTTCTGTAACGATCAATAATGTTGAGCACCTCTTCATATACCTGTTTTGCATTTGTATGTCTTCTGTTGAGAAATGTCTATGCAGGTCTTTTGCCCATTTTAAAAATTGGATTATTCATTTTTTTTCCCATTGAGTTTCTTATATATTATGGTTGTTAATCTCTTGTAAGATGTATAGTTTGCAAATGATTTCTGCTCTTTTGTGGGTTTTTTCTTCCCTTTTTTAATTTAATGTGATCCCATTTGTCCATATTTGTTTTGATTGCCTGTGCCTGTAGGGTATTACTCAAAAAATCTTTGCCCAGACCAATGTTCTGGATAGCTTCCCCAATAATTTTATTCAGTAGTTTCATAGTTTAAATTCTTAGATTTAACCCTCTTATCAATTTTGATTTGATTTTTGTATATGGTGAGAAATAGGGGTATAGTTTCATGTTTCTGAATGTGGATATTCAGTTTTCCCAGCACCATGTACTGAAGAGACTGTTCTTTCCTCAATGTGTGTTCCTGGTAACTTTGTCAAAAAATCAGTTCACTGTAGAAATGTAGATTTATTTCTGAGTTCTCTGTTCTGTTCTATTGGATTATGTGTCTATTTTTATGCCAATACCCTGCAGTTTTGGTTACTATACCTTTGTAGTATAACTTAAAGTCAAGTAATGTGATTCTTCCAGGTTTGTTCTTTTTGCTCAGGATGGCTTTGGCTATTGCTTTTCGTGTATGTGTGTGTGTGTGTGCGGAATCCTATAAATTTAAAGATTATCTTGTATTGCTGTGAAGAATGTCATTAGTATTTTGATAGAGGTTACATTAAATAAGTGGACTGATTTAGGTAGTATGGACATTTTAACAATTTTGATTCTTCCAATCCATGAATATGGAATATCTTTTTAGTTTTTGTTTCCTGTTCAATTTATGTCATCAATGTTCTATAGTTTTTATGGTAGGGATCTTTTATTTCTTTCGTTAATTCCTAGGTAGCTATAATATATATGATTGCTTTCTTGATTTCTTTTTCAAATTATTCACTGTTGGCATATAGAAATGCTCCTTATTTTTGTGTGTTGAGTTGGTATCCTGCAACTTTGCTGGATTTGTTTATCAGTTCTAATAGTTTTTTTTTTTTCTTTTTGGTAGAGCCTTTGAGTTTTTCCAAATACAAGATCATATAATCTGTAAACAAGGATAATTTTATTTATTCCTTCCCATTTTGGATGCCCCCTTTTTTTTTCTTGTCTCATTGCTCTAGCTAGAACTTCCAGTACAATGTTGAATAATAGTCATGAAAGTAGAGATCTTGTCATGTTTCTGATCCTGAAGAAAAGGTTTTAGTTTTTCCCCTTTCAGTATAATACTAGCTGTGGGACTGTCATATATGGGTATTTTCCTTCTATCCATGTTTTTTTTTTGTGATAGTTTTTTATCATGAAAGGGATTTCAGCATCAATTGATAGAATCATATGGTTTTTGTCCTTCATTCTCCTGGTATGAAATATCACATTTGAGTAATTCGCACGTGTTGAACCGTCCTTACATCCCAGGGATAAATCCCATATGGCCCTGATAAATGATCTTTTAAATGTGTGGTGGAATTTGGTTTACTAGTATTTTCTTGAGGATTTTTCATCAATATTTATAAAAAATATGAGCCAGTACTTTTCTTTTATGATGCATCTTTGTCTAGTTTTGGTATCAGGGAAATAACTGGCTTCGAAGTCTGAGGTTGGAAGTATTTTCACCTACTCTATATTTGGGAATAGTTTGAGGAAAGTTGGTATTAGTTCTTCAAGTTTGGTAAAATTCAGCAATGAAGCTTTTGGGTCCTGTGCTTTTATTTGCTGAGAGGCTTTTTATTATTGCTTTGATCTCATTACTTGTTATTGGTCTGTTTAGGTTGTGGACTTCTCATGGCTCAATTTTGGTTGATTGTATGTGTCTAGAAATTTATCCAGTTTTCTCTAAGTTTTCTAACTTATTGGCATATAATTGCTCACAGGAACATCTGGTGACCCTTTCAATTTTTGCAGTATTGGTTGTAATGTCACCGTTTTCATATCTGATTTTATTTATTTGTGTCTTCCCGCTTTTTGCTTATGGAGCCAGGCTAAATGTTTGTTGATTTTATTTACTTTTTCCATACAAAAAGTGTTCATTTTGATGATATTTTATAGGGCTTTCTTTATTTCAATTTTATTTATTTCAGCTCTGATTTTTATTATTTATTTTGTTCTACTAATTTTGAGTTTGGTTTGCTCTTGCTTTTTTATTCCTTAAGATACATTGTTAGGTTGTTTATTTTATGGTTTCCTACTTTTTTGATGTAGGTGCTTATTGCTGCAAACTGTTCTCTCAGTATTTCTTTCACTAGGTACCATGGGTTTTCATTTGTGATCCTTCCACTCTCATTTGTATTTATCTATCTATATTTATTTAATTTCCATCTTCATTTTATTATTGACTATATTAGTCAAGGTTCTCTTAGAGAGACAGAACTAATACTACATATATATATATACATATGTATATATATACACATATGTATATATATATGGAAGTTGATTAAATATTTATGTATATATATATATATATAGAAGTTGATTAAGTATTAACTTACATGATCACAGGGTCCCACAATAGGCTGTCTGCAAGCTGAGGAGCAAGGAAAGCCAGTCTGAGTCCCAAAACCGAAGAACTTGGAGTCCCATGTTCAAGGGCAGGAAGCATTCAGCACAGGAGAAAGATGTAGCCTGGGAGAAAAGACCCTTCTTCCTTTTTCATGGTTTTTTCTGCCTGCTTTCTATCCACTGGCAGCTGATTAGATTGTGCTTACCAGATTAAGGGTGGATATACCTTCCCCAACCCACTGACTCAAATGTTAATCTCTTTTGGCAACACTCTCACAGACACACCCAGGATCAATACTTTCAATCCAATCAAGTTGACCTCCGTATTAACCATCACAAGTCCACTCCGTGTCAACTTGAATCCATACACATCTCCTGAGATCATACATAATGTTCAAATAAAGACAATAATAAAGTCATAATAATACCTAACGTACTACAACTATCTTTTGTACGACTGGAATTGAATCAATCCCCAACCCAAATACTATTACATAAAGGTAACAATACTTAAATGCTGATATGAAGTCAATAAATTTTATGTCACATGATAAAGAAAATGAAATAAAGATTTTTTTAAAGTACAAAACATGTTTTTAACAAAAGACAAAGGAAATACTCATGACAGTTACAGTCCTTGTTTCTGCAGCTGGTCACGTGGTCATAGCTGGTATTGATTACCTTTTTCTACTACCCAGTCTGTATTCCCTTTGCCTTCAGCATGCACCTCAGCAGGTCATGTATTTTTGTTTGTTTGTTTGTTTTTTGTAGAGTGACCCAAACCTTCATTCCTGAGAGGTCTAGGCCATTTGTAGTCCTGCCTGGATTGGGCTGTTGTAGTTTCCCATTGACCTTAATCACAGGGCATGGTAATACTAAGAGACACCCTAATGGATCTCCTATATTCCATGCATATTATTCCTTACCTCCATTGTGAACTAGTAGGCTGATTTCATCTTGATAGTCTGGGTTAATCACCCCAGCCAACACTGTAATTCCCTTCTTAGCCTGTTGACTTAAAGGTAGAAGGAGCACAAAGTGTCCAGGTGGCAATCATAGCTTCCAGTTTAATGGAATTGTTGTTGTGTCTCCTGATGGCAGCATTCCTCCTTCTGGAACTAAGACCTCTAGGCTGACAGAACGTTATGTTGTGAGAACAGGAAGTAAAAATTTTGTTAGTGGATCACTAGGGGTGATCATGAGTGGATCCACTTCCACTTCCACCCCTTGATTCCTGGACCCACGAATCCTAGCTATGGGAGAAAGAGTACCATATGTTGGACACTGATTCAGAGCATACATGGCTTTCTGGAAAACTTTGCCTCAGCCCTGAAAAGTATTGTCATCTAATTGGTACTGTAATTGTGACTTCAAAAGGCCATTCCACTGTTCCATGAATACAGCTGCTTCAGGATGATAGGCAACATGGTAAGACCAGTGAATTCCATGAGCATGAGCCCACTGCTGCACTTCTTTAGCTGTAAAGTGAGTGCCAGGGTCAGAAGCAATGGTGTGTGGAATACCATGATGGTAGATAAGGCATTTCGTGAGTCTGTGGATGGTAGTTTTGGCAGAATTATTCCATGCAGGATAGGCAAACCCATATCTGGAGTAAGTGTCTATTCCAGTGAGGATAAACCTCTCCTCCTTTACATAATGGAAAAGATCCAATATAATCAACCTTCCACCAGGTGGCTGGCTGATCACTCCAAGAAATGGTGTTATATTGAGGGCTCAGCATCGGTCTCTGCTGCTGGCAAATTGGGCACTCAGCAGTGGCTGTAGCCAGGTCAGCCATGGTGAGTGGAAGTCCATGTTGCTGACCCATGCATAACCTCCATCCCTGCCACCATGGCCACTTTGTTCATGGGTTCACTGGGCAATTACAGGGGTGGCTGGGGAAACAGGCTGAGTGGTGTCCACAGAACAGTTTATCCTATCTATTTCATTATTAAAATCCTCCTCTACTGAGGACCCCCATTGGCGAGTACTCACATGGGATACAAATATTTTCATGGTTCTTGACGACTCAGAGAGGTCCATCCACATACATCTTGTCCAAATGTCTTTGTCACCAATTTTCCAATCATGTCTCTTCCAAGTCTCTGAACAGCCAGACAAACCACTGGCTATAGCCCTTGAATCAGTATATAATCATACAACTGGCCATTTCTCCTTCCATCCAAAGTGCACAAGCAGGTGCACTATGTGAAGTTCTGTCCATCGGAAAGATTTCCCTTCACCACTATCTTTCAGGGATGTCCTAGAAAGGGGCTGTACTGCTGCAGCTGTCCACTTTCAGGTGGTGCCGGAATATCGTGCAGAACCATCTGTGAACCAGGCCCTAGTCTTCTCTTTCTCTGTCAGCTGATCATAGAGAACTCCCCACAAGGCCATCATTGCAGGCTGGCAAAGAGAAGGCAGGGTGGCAGGAGTGGAGACCATGGGCATTTGAGCTACTTCCTCATGCAACTTACATGTTCTTTTAGGACCTGCTCGAGCCCGATTAATTGTATACCACGTCCATTTGATGATGGAATGCTGCTGTGCACAACCCACTTTATGATTAAATGGGTCAGAAAGTACCTAGTTCATGATAGGCAGTTCAGATTGCATGGTTAATTGATGACCCATAGTCAAACATTCAGTTTCCACCAAAGCCCAGTAACAGGCCAAGAGCTGTCTCAGAGAAGGATAGTAGTTATCTGCAGAAGATGGCAGGGCCTTGCTCCAAAATTCTAGCCTTCATTGTGATTCACCTATGGGGGCCTGCCAAGGCTCCAAACAGCACCCTTATCTGCCACTGACACCTCAAGCACCATTGTATCTACTGGGTCATATGACCCAAGTGGCAGAGCATCTTGCACAACAGCCTGAACCTGTTGCAAAGCTTTCTCCTGTTCTAGACCCCACTCAAAATTGGCAGCTTTTTGGATCACTCGGTAAACGAGTCAGAGAAACACACCCAAATGAAGAATGTGTTGCCTCCAAAATCAAAATAAGCCCACTAGGCATTGTGCCTCTTTCTTGGTTTTAGGTAGTACCAAATTAAGCAACTTATCCTTCACCTTAAAAGGAATATTTTGACAGGCCCCACACAACTGGACCCCTAGAAATTTTACTGAAGTAGAAGTTTCCTGAATTTTAGTCAGATTTATTTCCCATCCTCTGGCATGCAAATGTCTTACCAATAAGTTCAATGTGTTTCTACCTCTTGCTCACTGGAAGAAATCTGCATAATGTCATCAATGTAATGGACCAATGTGACATCTTGCAGAAGCAAAAAGCAATCAAGGTTCTCTGAATAAGATTATGACACAAAGCCAGATAATTGATATACCCCTGAGGTAGGACCATAAAGGTATATTGCTGGCCTTGCCAGCTGATTAAAAATTGCTTCTGGTGGGCCTTATGGAGAAAAAGGCATTTGCCAAGTCAATGGCTGCATACCAGGTACCAGTATATGTGTTAATTTGCTCAAGCAATGAAATCACATCTGGTACAGCAGCTGCCATTGGAGTCACCACTTGGTTAAACTCACATTAATCCACTGTCATTCATTACATAATGTCAGATCATTACATTAATCTGTCTTGGAGAACAGATTCTCCAAGATCCATCTGTTCTGCACAGGCCAAATGGGAGAGAGTAGAATGGGGATGTTGTGGGAATCACCACCCCTGCGTTTTTCACCTGATGGTCGCGCTAATCTCTGGAATTCCACCTGGGATGTGATATTGCTTTCAATTTACTATTTTTCTAAGTAGAGATAGCTCTAATGGCTTCCATTTGGCCTTTCCAACCATAATAGCCCTCACTCTACCAGTCAGGGAGCCAATGTGGGGGTTCTTCCAGCTGTTAAGTATGTCTGTGCCAATTATGCATCTGGCACTGGGGTAATGACCACAGGATGAGTCTGAGGACCCACTGGACCCACTGTAAGTCAGACCTGAGCTAAAACTCCATTAACTACCTGACCTCCATAAGACCCTACTTTAACTGGAGGACCACAATGACATCTTGGTTCCCCTGGAATCAACATCAGTTAGAGCTAGTGTCCAGTAGCCCCTGAAATGTCTGATCACTTTCTTTTTCCCAATGCACAGTTAACGTAGTAAAAGGCTGAGGGTCTTGTTGGGGAAGGATGGGAGAAAGATTCACTGCATAAATTGTTGGTAATGTAATGGGGTCCTTCCTCAAAGGGACCATGACTCTCCTTCATTCAAGGGGTTCTGGGTCTGTAAACTGGCTCATGTCTGGAAAATTATTGTGGGGCCATGACTCTCTGTTTTTATAATTTAAATTAGTTTTTCATCCATTTGACTGAGATGTTTTCTGCTTGTATTAATTAAGAATGTAGTGGGCTTCCTATATATTTCACCTCTAGGAACACCCTGATTAATTAGCCAATGCCAGAGCTCTATATGAGTCAGACTATTCTGATTGCCACTTTGCCTTGGCTGTCCATTTCTGTAGCTATTCCCACTTTGCCTTTGATAGTTGAGTGCTGCCACTTGGTCCCTGCCACCTCAGGATATAATTATTCCCATTGTATTTAAATTTTGTAGTTGAGTGACTGTGGTTCCCAGCATTGGATCTGACATACAGGGAAAAGCAATTACAGGCCTCTTCAAAGATGCAGATGCTGCCCTCACAAATCTATTTTGCAAGGCATTGGTCAGGGATATATCTTCTGGCTCCTCACAGCTGGGGTGAGTAGGTCTAAAGTGACTAATCTACTGCACCATCCCAATCTCCCTAAGCCTTTGGATCTCTTCCTCTACAATTAACCAAGGCAGATTAAACATTCCCAACTCCCTCACAGTGGGCCATCTTTTAATCCATATTTCAGCTAACCAAACAAATAAACTATTAGAACCTTTTTTTAACTCCCCAAGCTACAACATTAAAAGCAGAGTCCCTACTTAGTGAGCCAAATCAATAGATTCAGCCTGATCCAACTGCATGTTCCTTCCACATAATGGTGGAATGTTGTGGAATCCCATACTGTTAATATCCATTCCCATGCCTGTTTTCCAGATTTCTGTTTATATAAATTAGATAACTCAAACAGTTCTTTTCGAGTGTAGTGCACCTCCTCATGGGTCACACTCTGAATCTCACCTCTAGGGACCCGCAGGGACTTTCGTCTAGTTATGGTTCTCAACAGAAAGAGAGGTGTTGGGGGTAGCTCCTGAGGAGAATCAACATTATTTCCCCTGGCAACTGCCTCAGGGGAGGCCATCACTGCTGCCTCAGGCAGTGCAGAGTTTATCTCCTCAAACAAAGGTGGAAAGGCTGATGGCACCACGGGTCAGTTAGGGGTTGTTGCCCCTCCTGGAGATGGGGAAGCTGTTTCTTCTGGCCAAAAAAAGATTCCTCAGAGTTTGCAAACTCAGTGTCCCCAGCTTCATCAGGGTCCTCCCACACATCCCCATTACAAGTTGTAGGGTCCCATTCTTTTCCAATCAATGCCCTCACCTTAACAGTAGACACCTAGCAAGGCTATGCATGCATTTTTCATTGCAGGTCTCCTACTCACGTGATAAGAGCTTGTGTCTGTTTTTCCACAATTTCAGCTCTTTCTCTACAAGAATCAAGACTCTCACTCAGGGAATTTTAGCAGACTTGAGGCTCAGTATCTGCTTCTGTAGCCAGGAGACAGAATCCCTGAGTTCATATTTTCCTTTATCACTTTGTCCACTGAACTTAGCAACAACCAACCAGCTTCATTATGTTCCTTGGTTCTCCATATATGGTCAAAGATATTATGTACAGAGTCACTAAACTTTCCTCGCACGAGCAGTGAGTCAAGAATGTCAAATGCATTTGTTTTGAATAACTCTCTAAACAGTTCACATCAAAGACTATCAGTGTTCTCCATACTATTCAAAATAGAGTCCTTAGCATTTTTGGGTCTAATCATATTAACTACCCAACTCCAGAAACCCCAAAACCAATAAAAGAACTCCATTTTTAATATTCTGTTCCTCTAGAACCACTCCTGGTATTAAAATCTGTATTAGTCAGGGTTTTTTTAGAGGGACAGGACTCATGGTGTGTGTGTGTGTGTGTGTGTGTGTGTGTGTGTGTATATATATATAAAATTATATATATGAGTTTATAAATGTATATATGAATATATATGAGTTTATAAAGTATTAACTCACAATATCATAAGGTCCTACAATAGGCTTTGTCTGCAAGCTGACAAGTGAGGAGAGCCAGTCCAAGTCCCAAAACTGAAGAACTTGGAGTCCCATGTTTGAGGTCAGGAAGCATCCAGCATGGAAGAAAGACATAGGCTGGGAGGCGAGGCCCATCTCCCCTTTTCACATTTTTCTGTGTGCTTTGTTTATACTGCCAGCTGATTAGATTATTCCCATCAGATTAAGAGTTGATCTGGGCCAGGTGCAATGGCTCATGCCTGTAATCCCAGCACTCTGGGAGGCTGAGGCGGGTGGATCAAGAGGTCAGGAGATCGAGACCATCCTGGCTAACATGGTGAAACCCCATCTCTACTAAAAATACAAAAAAAATTAGCTGGGCGTGGTGGCGGGCACCTGTAGTCCCAGCTACTTGGGAGGCTGAGGCAGGAGAATGGTGTGAACCTGGGAGGTGGAGCTTGCAGTGAACCAAGATTGCACCACTGCACTCCAGCCTGGACAACAGACAAAGACTCCATCTCAAACAAACAAACAAACAAACAAACAAAAAAACAGTTGATCTGCCTTCCCCAGACCACTGATTCAAATGTTAATCTCTTTTGGCAACAGCTCCACAAATGCACCTAGGATCAATACTTTCAATTCAATCAAGTTGACACTGAGTATTAACCATCACATTGACCCACTGGTCATTCAGGAATATATTCTTGAATTTATATGTGTTTGTGTAATTTCTAAAGTTCCACTTGTTACTGATTTCTAGTTTTATTCCATTATGGTCATAAAAGATACTTCATTTGATTTTCATTTTTTTTTAATTTTTAAACTTGTGTTGTGGCATAACATTTTGTGTTTCCTTGAAAATGATCCATGTGGCTGGGTGTGGTGGCTCACCTCTGTAATTCCAGCACTTTGGGAGGCTGAGGTGGGTGGATGACTTGAGGTCAGGAGTTTGAGACCAGCCTGGCCAACATGATGAAACCCTGTCTCTACTAAAGATACAAAAATTTGCTAGGCATGGGTAGTGCATGCCTGTAATCCCAGCTACTCCTGAAGCTGAGGCAGGAGAATCACTTGAACCTGGGAGATGGAAGTTGCAGTGAGCCAAGATTGCACCATGGCACTCCAGCCTGGGTGACAGAGTGAGACTCTGTCTCAAAACAATTTAAAAAGGGGGAAAAAAAAGAAAGGATCCACATGATGAGGAGAATATTTATTTTGCAGCCACTGGATAAAAGTTTCTGTAAATATCAATTAGGTGCATATGGTCAATGTATAGTGCAAATTAAGTCCAATGTTTCTATTTTGATTTTCTGTATAGATGCTCTGTCTGATACTGACAGTTGGATGCTTAAGTTACCATTGCATTGGTGTCTAACTCTCTCTTTAGCTCTAATAATCTTTGCTTTAAATATCTATGTGCTCCAGTGTTAGGTACAAACATATTTAAAATTGTTATATCCTCTTTCTGAATTCACCCCTTTATCATTATATAATGACTTTTTCCTCTCTCTGTATAGTTTTTTTCTCAAAATATATTTTGTCTGATATAAATATAGCTTTTTCTCCTCTTTTTTCGGTTTCCATTTGCATGGAATATCTTTTTCCATCCCTTTATTTTCTTTCTTTGTATGTCTTTTTAGGCGCAGTGTGTTTCTTGCAGGCAACAGATTGTTGAGTCTTGGGTTTTTTTTTTTTGTTTTTTCAATCTACTCAGCCACTCTTTTACTTTTGATTCAAGAGTTTAGTCCATTTATATTCATTTTTGTAATTTTGTAATTTGTAGTACAGAATTATTCCTGCCATAGATATATAAAAATTTGTCTCTAGGTTTGGAAAGTGCTACTTATGATTTATTTGAATATACTTTCTACTGCTGTATCTCTCTCTGCTTCCTCTTTAAGGCCAACATATACACATATATATATGTATGTTGTTTTGTGGTCTTCTCTTCCTCCTTTCCTTCATCCTGCCTTCTTTCTAGTCAAGTGGTTTTCTCTAATTATATCTTTTGATTTCTTGCTTTTCATTTTTGTGAATCTTTGGTAGTTTTTTTTTTTTAATTTGAGGTTACCATGAGACTTGCAAATAACGTCTCATAATCCATTAAACTGATGACAACATTGACTGCATAAACCAAACACACACACAAATAAGAAAAGATAAAACTAACAAAAACTCTCTACTTTCACTTCCTTCTCCCACTTTTTAGCTTTTTATTTTTCTACTTATTGTACTGTCTGTGTCTTGAAAAGTTGTAGTAGTTATAATTTCAATAGGTTCATCTTTAGTCTTTCTACTCAACATATGAGTAACATCACACTACAATCATAGTGTTATAATATTCTGTGTCTGTTAAATATTGCCAGTGAGTTTTGCACTTCACATTACTTCTTATTGCTCATTAACAATTTTGTTTTCAGATTGAAGAATCCTCTTTGAAATTTCTTATATGACAGGTCTGGTATTGATAAAATCCTTTTGTTTTTGCTTTTCTGGGAAAGTCTTTATTTGTCCTTCATGTTTGAAAGATATTTATGCTGGATATACTATTTTAAGATAAAAAAAATTTCCCAACACTTTATATATGTCATGTCCTGCCACTCTCTCCTGACCTGTATGATTTCTACTGAATTGTCTACTGCCAGACTTATTGGAGCTCCATTCTATATTATTTGCTTCTTTTCTATTTCTGCTTTATGGGTCTTTTTTATATTTGACTTTTGGGAATTTGATTATTAAATGTCTTGAGGTTGTCTTATTTGAAATAAATCTGCTTGGTGTTCTATAACCTTCTTGTCTTTGAATAACAATATTTTTCTCTAGGTTTGTAAAGTTCTCCCTTATTATTTCTTTGAATATACTTTCTACCTCTGCATCTCTCTCTACACCCTTTTTAGAGCCAATAACTCTTAAATCTATTCATTTGAGGGTAGTTTTTAGGTCTTGTGAGTTTACTTTATCCTGTTTCTTTCTACTTTGGTTTCTACTGTTTACTTTCAAATAGCCTGTCTTCAAGCTTGCTAATATTTTCTTCTGCTTGATCTACTTTGCTCATAACAGACTCCTCTCTATCAATCAACAAATCAATCATCTATGTATGTATGTATGTATCTATCTATCTATCTACATTTGTTTCTTGACATCTATGGGAGATTAGTTCCAGTACCTACCACAAATACTAAAATTTGTAGATGCTCAAGTCTCTTTTATAAAAAGGTGTTGTATTTGCAAATTACCTATGCACATCCTCCCATATAATTCAAATAATTTCTAGATTATTTATAGTACCTAGTACAATGTAAATACTCTGTATATAGTTGTACTGTTTCATTTAGGCAATAATGGCTAGAAAAAAAGTCTATCCATGTTCACTACAAATGCTTTTTTAAAAAAAATTTCAATCTTTCATCTGTGATGGTTGAATTTATTCCCTTTATACCTATACATATGTATTATATATATATGTATTTATGTACAGATGTATATATACAGTATGTAAGGTGGATACATTTTAAAATTCTATTAAAACTATTTCTTTGACCTATAGATTCTTTAGAATTATGTGTTTAATCTATATTTGCACAATTTTTTACTTTCTGTTGTTATTTATTTCTAATTTAATTGCATTTGAATCTAAGTGTGTTAGAGTATAACTCCTGTGCATGACAGAATTAGGGGACACTACACTTTCATGGGTTTTACCTCCTTATTGGAAATTACCAGGTTCTCATGGTGAAGATCCAAAAGATAAATTTTTATGTCTCTAACGAGAGAGAAAGAAAATTAACAGCTCTTCATCATGTTATTTTTCTACAGAGAACATTTCCTTTGCTTCTTGTAGCAAGTTGGTGCAGCAGCAAATTAACTTAGTCTAATCAGTAGCTAAGTCTATTTGAAGCTATGCTGCATTCTTTGTTAAGGCTGGACAATTTCAGGTTCACTTCTATTCCCATATCATAGCCCTTGTAGGTTTGAACTGAAAATTCTTGGGTATTTCCCAGATCTGCCTCTTTTGTAGACAATGAACTCCCAAATTTTCCAACTATCTTTGAGTCTAACGAAAGCTTTATTCATATTCCAGCTTCTTAGTGGCCTCTCTTGACTTGGCAAAGCTTCAAAGAAATACGTGCTGCCAAATACCGTGTTCATTTCCCTGAGCTTTTACTCTGCAGAATCTTGAAAAGTCAAGTGCTTGCTGCCTTTTTTCTGTATTCTTCTAACACATTTTTTATACTTTTCCAACTTTCCTGCTTTTCTAGGGGAATTGGTCTGAATAAAGGCATTCTACTTTTACCAGAGAGAAAAGCTTAGCATGTCTCTGAAAATCTTCCCATATAATTTTTTTTTCACAGAATTCTAATATACCAAATTTTTAAATCACTTGTCTAGTTAAGGGGTAGGATATGAACACAGACCAAAAATTATTATTAATTTTAAAATGTTTCCTTTTTTATTTATTTAATATTTTAGTGTATTAATTTTTTCACATGTTTTAGGGCATACAATGATTAACCAGATACAAAAGGACCTTCTGTTACAAAGTTAGCAGTATGGTGTGGAAGATAGAAGATTAAGGAAGCAACATATAATGTAGAATATTTATTCTAGTAGGTCCGGAAAGATATAGCAGAAGCATTCAATTTTGGGAAGAAAAAGAACAAAACATGATCCCTATATGTTACCTGAGAATGACATATAAATAAGAATAAATGATAAAGTTTTGAACCTGCAGCATATAAAATGATATTTTAACTTGAGGAAATATTGTATACATATTTCTTAGACAAATTTTATAAAATAAATGAAGTTTACTGTGGCTAATATATACTCTAAGGGTGGGCATGGGAAACCAGGAAAATAGCTGGAAGAGGTATATGGTGTTAAAAATTTGAACATGGACAGAACTATTATTGATAGAATTATCCAATCTAATAAATCTGAGATGGAAATATCAGTATAAATTGATGATGTTTAGCTTAATGTAGGAACATATGGATACATATAAAATTATTTATACACAGGTTAATAAACACATATATATTCCTTTGCTGTGTAGCTTAGATGGCTGTGAAGAAAAAACATCCCTGTAGTAATTAGCATTTAATATACCTAGAATACAGCCCTTGGTTACTAATATCATCCTCCAAAAATACATTGAAAGATTAAAACAAGTAACTAGAGATTCGTGAAGAAATGTTTTAGGTCTGGAGCAGGAAATACACAAGGTGAACGTGGAGCATCTTGTCATGCTAGAAAGTATGGAAGTACTCAACAAAAAAACAATACCGACAATGATGGAGGTATGTCGAAGCAACACAAGAAGCAACTGAAAGAGCTCTCAAAAGACAAAACAAAAATTTGAGAAAAAATAATAAAGTAGTATTGGGTTATAGCCAATAATAGAAAAAGCAATATTCGTGAGTTTATACTTATATAAAAAATAAATGAATGAATGAATAAATAGAAGTAGAATAAGCAATTTATGCAAATACTCCGTCCTTCATTAGGCAGATCATAACTCCCTACTATATCAATAATGAAAATATCACTCTTACAAAGAGTACAGTATAAAATTGTGGGGAAAATAATAACCTTCACAGTAGGGAAACCTGAGAAACACTACCTCAGCCAGGTTAACGGCAGTGATGAGTCAAGTTGATAGTATGTACCCGTTTTAAGATATGATGCAAATAGCACATTACCATTGCAGTCTTTCCTCCACAAACTCATAACCCCAATCTAATCATGTGAAAAACATGAGAAAACCCTCAGTGAGGAGCACTCTATAAAGTAGTTGAACATTACTCCTTCCTACTGTCAACGTCATCACAATCAATGAAAATCAGAGAAGCCTTTGTAATTAAAAGGAATTTAGGAAACATGAAAACTAAGGACACTGAGATATCCTAAATGTGGTCCTGGAACAGAAAAAAGACATTAGATAAAAATTAAAATTTCTAAATAAAGCATGGATGGTACTAATCTAACAATGTGTTGATATTGCAGTAAATGTATATAACGTACCATACTAACATAAGACGTTAATAATTGTAGAAACTGGGTATGGAGTCAATGGAAACTTTCTGTGATGCTTTCACTACTTTTCCATAAATATAAACCTATTCATATATATATATAATATAAATTACATATTATATATTAATTACATGTACTATATAATTTATATTATATATTAGTATATTATATATTATATATAATTATATATATATAAAATATATATGTATATATTTGAGATGAGGTCTCACTCATCTCAGGCTGGAGTGCAGTGGCACATTATAGCTTACCGAAGCTTCCAACTCCTGGGCACAAGTGATTCTCCTGCGTCAGCCTCCTGAATCACTGGAATTACAGGCAAGAGTCACAGCACCTGGCTGAGATTCGGAATTTTAAAATAACTGTTATAAAAAAAATCTGCTAGAGAAAGAAAGAAAGATTATAAATGTTAAATAAAAATGTACTATTTATTGATTGATTTTCTTTCCTTCCTGCTGTTCATCCCCAGTGAAAATATAATTCCTGGGTTGTTTATCACTAAGTTCTTTGTTCTAGAATATTACCTAAAGCATAATACAATATATTCCCAATATTTATAAGTAGAAATACATAATGGGTTTGTAATTGAAGGAATGCAATAGAAATCCAAGGTCACTGAAGTAGAGAAAATTCTTACTGATGAGGAGAATTTGGGATTTACAGAACAGATGTTTTTCTAGATTATTGTAAAACAAACTTACCAGTATAAAAAATGGACTTTTATTAGCCTTAAGGAAACATTTTAAATAATGAATTATGAGGGCTAATCATGAGGTAAATGGATGACACTGAGCACAGTGACAACTTCTTGTCAAAGTAGTTCACAACCAAATGTAGGTTTTTAAAGGGGAACAAAAGTGATGTTTCTGTGTGAATTCACATCTCTGTTGAAAGAGGTGTCACATTTTGATGGAAGCTACACATGGGATAAAAAAGGAAAGTTGGGAAAGAAAAAGCTTAGTGGAAGTTTGTGTTTTATCCTATAGAGAAAATATAAAACTTGGCAATAAGAATTGGCTCTTTTAAAATGACTTCATTAAGAAATAAAACTAAGTGGTAAGGCATGGTAAAGTTCCTATATTTTACTCAAACTTGAGTACGAGTTTTGGAGGTTGACATACAAAGGGGAATGATAAATCTTGCCATTAATTTTTATTTTGTTTATTTCTCCTTGGTTTATTCATGGGGCAAGATATGACTAGAGTGCTTTCCTTTGGATAATATCAGCAAGAAAAATCTCTCAATAAATCATATTACACTTTTATTTGGTTCAAAAAAACCCTGCGTTTCAGTTTCAAGACCATACTTATTGAACTTAACCTTTGACAATTCAATTAGGCTTTTGAATTAAGTGGATACATAAACTCATGCCATACCAAATTTTTTAATAACGTACTTGTTTTGTTTGTACTTTTTTATTGTCCGCTGATCATTTTTAAAACATTTAACACTTCTCTAAGTACACAATGCTTTCATAAACTTAATATTAAATAAAAAGCTAAATTATTAAGTGTTAAACAAAACTAGGCATTTAAAAATTTGAACCCTCTAAACATTTAAGCATTAAATAATATAAAAAATTAATCAGACTTTTCAAACATTTGATGAGCATAAGTCTTAGTGATGCTTTAAACATGTAAAAAGAAAACAAAATTATCATAATGAATATAAAACAGATCACTACACTTAAACTGATTCGCTAAAGAATTAATTCCATGAATTTGTTTGCTTCTCAATTATTATTATTATTATTATTATATAATTTTATTTTAAGTTCTGGGATACATGTGCAGAAAGTGCAGGTTTGTTACATAGATATACATGTGCCATGGTGGTTTGCTGCACCTATCAACCCATCATCTAGGATTTAAGCCCTGCATGCATTAGGTAGGTATTTGTCCTAATGCTCTCCCTCCCCTTCCCCCCCAGCCTCCGACAGGCCCCGGTATGTTATGTTACCCTTCCTGTGTCCATGCTTTCTCATTGTTCAACTCCCACTTATGAGTGAAAACATGCGGTGTTTGGTTTTCTGTTCCTGTGTTTGCTGAGAATGATGGTTTCCAACTTCATCCATGTCCCTGCAAAGGACATAAACTCATTCTTTTTTTACAGCTGCATAGTATTCCATGGTGTATATGTGCCACATTTTCTTTTTCCAGTCTATCATTGATGGACATTTGAGTTGGTTTCAAGTATTTGCTGTTGTAAATAGTGCTGCAATAAACATAGGTGTGCATGTATCTTTATAGTAGAACGATTTATAATATTTTGGGTATATATTCAGCAATCGAATTGCTGGGTCATATGGTATTTCTGGTTTTAGATCACTGAGGAATCGCCACACTGTCTTCCACAATGGTTGAACTAATTTACACTCCCACCAACAGTGCAAAAGCATTCATATTTCTCCACATCCTAGCCAGAATCTGTTGTTTCCTGTCTTTTTAATGATCGCCATTCTAACTGGCATGAGATGGTATCTCACTGTGGTTTCGATTTGCATTTCTCTAATGACTAGTGACGATGAGCTTTTTTTCATGTCTGTTGGCTGCATAAATGTCTTCTTTGGAGAAGTATATGTTCATATCCTTTGCCCACTTTTGGATGGGGTTGTTTTATTCTTGTAAATTTGTTTAAGTTCCTTGTAGGTTTTGGATATTAGCTCTTTGTCAGATGGATAGGTTGCAAGAATTTTCTCCCATTCTGTGGGTTTTCTGTTCACTCTGATGATAGTTTCTTTTGCTGTGCAGAATCTTTTTAGTTTAATTAGATCTTGTTTGTCAATTTTGGCTTAGTTGCAATTACTTTTGGTGTTTTGGTGATGAAATATTTGCCCATGACTATGTCCTGGGTGGTATTGCCTAGGTTTTCTTCTAGGGTTTTTATGGTTTTAGGTTTCATGTTTAAGTCTTTAATCCATCTTGTGTTAATTTTTGTATAAGGCGTAAGGAAGGTTCCAGTTTCTGTTTTCTGCATACTGCTTGCCAGTTTTTCCAGCACCATTTGTTAAATAAGTGTTTCCCCATTGCTTGTTTTTGTCAGGTTTGTTAAAGATCAGATGGTTGTGGATCTGGGGTGTTATTTCCGAGGCCTCTGTTCTGTTCCATTTGTCTATATATCTGTTTTAATATCAGCGCCATGCTGTTTTGGTTACTGTAACCTTGTAGTATAGTTTAAAGTCAGGTAGCATGGTGCCTCCAGCTTTGTTCTTTTTGCTTAAGGTTGTCTTGGCTATACGGGGTCTTTTTTGGTTCCATATGAAATGTAAAGTAGTTTTTTTCTAATTCTGTGAAAAAAGTCGATGGTAGCTTGCTGGGAATAGCATTGAATCTAAACATTTCTTTGAGCAGTATGGCCATTTTCATGATATTGATTCTTCCTATCCATAAGCATGATTTTTTAAATTTGTTTGTGTCCTCTCTTATTTCCTTGAGCAGTGGTTTGTAGTTTTCCTTGAAGAGGCCCTTCCAGTCCTTTGTATGTTGTATTCCTAGGTATTTTATTCTCTTTGTAGCAATTGTGAATGGGAGTTCACTCATGATTTGGCTCTCTGCTTGTCTATTTTTTGTGTACTAATGCTTGCAATTTTTGCACATTGATTTTGTATCCTGAGACTTTGCTGAAGTTGCTTACCAGGACTGCCTTACAAGAACTCCTGAAGGAAGCACTAAATATGAAAAGGGAAAACCAGTACCAGCCACTGCAAAAACACACTAAAATATGAAGACCAATGACACTATGAAGAAACTGCATCAATTAATTTGCAAAATAAGTAGCCTACTTTTCTTAATGTCAATATTAAATTTTATGATCATGTAAAACAGTGACCTAAAGGAGAAGTAGCTCACTTATTAAAGTTTTCCCCTACAAAATAATGTGGCCATAGTCAAACCATTATAAAATAATAATATTGTGAAACTGGATAGTTATGAACAATGGTTAAGCATTAGAAAGTCTGAACAAATTTGAAGCTAACTACTTATTGTTAGTCATCTAACGGAAATAAATGAATTATTTATCTGTAAAGGGTTTTTCTAGCAGGGTCAAGAATACCACTGTACTACCAAGCAGAGGGTATATGGAGTGAAAGCAGAGATCACGAGCAGGGAAAACTAGAATAAACTTCAGTTGCTCTATTAGTGCTCTGCAGAAGTATCTTTTGCAAGATTATTTATCCCCAGCTTTCCTTTATTTGTATAATATGCTAAGTAATAGCATACTATACAAAAAATTATTATCCTAATCTCCTAAGGTGTGAGCATAGAGAAGAGTATGAAACCACAGTTAAATGTAAGTCATCACAATCACACACCGAAAAACAAACAAACAAACAAACAAACAAACAAAAACACACTGCTCAGCAAAGTATATTGCCCTAATATACTTTGCAGAATTATTCCTTTTTCAGTAGGTTTTACTTGGGTAGAACAAGCATTCAAAAAAGCCAGAAGCAAGAAATGAAAGGAAAAAAAAAATCAGATGTAGAAAATAAACCTCAACCGTTCCCTTTCATTTGAAGGGATAAGTAGTGTCTTCAACAACTTGGATGTCCACAAAAACAATAACTATTTTTCTTTTCATAGTTCATTGCATAAATCTAGAGCCAAGCATCCTATGATCTAGCAAAGTACAATTTTGTAGAAAGTAAAAACTTTACCTTATTCTTTAGAAATAAAACATTTAAGGAGAATTTCACATTTTTTCTGAAAATTCCCAATACCAATAATAGAACTTTGTTCTCTTTCAAGGTCAGAAGAAAAAGGAGAGAGGGAAACAGCAGATATACTTATTAAAAGATTAATCTTAAAAGGTGGGGAATCATTTTGAAAATATATGAATTACTGTCACCCAGAAAAACAGATTTGTACTGTAGTAAGAAACTATACTTTCAAACATTTATAAGCCATATTTTATTGAAACTTGAGAGGGCCCAAATATTTCAGAAAAAACAACTCTCCAAAATGATGAAAGACTAGTAAAACTTTTAAGTAAAAAAACAAGACAATCTATGTAATAAAGGAGAAAACTGTTTTGAAAATTTAGTCAATTAGCTCAAGAACTTTTTTTGGATTTTAAAGAAAATGAAAACAATGATAACTAAAAGGAGACAAAAAATCTAATATAGGTATAATTGGAAAAATAGATAAAAGTAGTCAAAAAAGTTGAAGTAGATTAACAATATTTAAATCAAAATTGATTTACAATTACAATTAGAATTCAAATTATAATTAGAATTTTTAAATTAGAATTAAACTCAAAATTAAATTAGCCATGGATTTTAAATTAGAATTAGAATATGTAAAATAGAATTTAACATCATTCAAATTTTAATAAAATACTGAAATCACCTGCATTATATTTGAGTTTATGGTTCATTTACATATGTGGCCAACAGCATAACTTGCTACAATGTTCATAGGATATTTATTAATGACTAGATATTTCCCATGTGCAATTGCCTTGGTACTATGCAATTATGAGTGTTTCCTGAGTATCCATAATGAGTTTTCTTCTACATTACAAGGTACTGAGTCCAGTGGGTTTGATAAAGCCTATAATACAATTTTAAATTTAAGATGATCAGTTCCAGTTATGATATTTAAAAAGTTTTCAGTTACAAGAAAAATCAGCATACATATGATGTTCTATACCACCATAAGTCAGTACTGACCAGAGGAAAAATATAGATGCATAGAGTACAATCCAGTACCTAACTTTAAGAAACTTCATCACACTGTCACTAAAAAGTGTTTCATGAAATATTTAATGGATATTTATTTTCTGCAAGATGCATTCTACGCACAGAAATTACAACCCTAAGGAAAACAGTATTATTAGCCTCAAGAATATTTCAGTAAAGAATCAATACAAATTAAGATGTGTCAACTCCATGAAATATAAATAAAAATAATCATACGTAAGTACATAAGGATAAAACAATTGTTTCACCCAAGCTAATAGAAATTTTAAAAGAAGCCAGACTGACACATTTTTAGCAAAGTAGCAACAATTGGACTTACAGCTAGTTGTTTTTTTTTTTTTTTTTTTTTTTTGAGACGGATTCTCGCTCTGTCGTCCAGGCTGGAGTGCAGTGGTGCAATCTCGGCTCACTGCAAGCTCTGCCTCCTGGGTTCACGCCATTCTCCTACCTCAGCCTCCTGAGTAGCTGGGACTACAGGCGCCCACCTCCACGCCCGGCTAATTTTTATGTATTTTTAGTAGAGACGGGGTTTCACCGCGTTAGCCAGGATGGTCTCGATCTTCTGACCTCAGTGATCCGCCCGCCTCGGCCTCCCAAAGTGCTGGGATTACAGGCATTTATAGGTAGTTCTTAATAGAAATTATAAAATCTGTAGAAAATTGAATATCTTATTCAAATAAAAGAATAAAAATAAATCTGGCCAGAATTATAAGAGAAAAATCAAGACAGTGTGGTATTTTGTAATCTAAAACAAAATTGTCAATGCAGTCAATGCCATGAAAGCTCAAATAAGATGAATATGGAGTTGTGTATCAGATTTAACTAAGTGATAACTACATAAAAAATGTTGATTAACTTTATTGCTTAACTTCCACTACATGTACAAGACTATGATTTTCTAGGATGCTAATTATTCCTTACTTTATGATAAAATTAGAGCGTGGTCTTGCCAGGCGCGGTGGCTCACGCCTGTAATCCCAGAACTTTGAGAGGCGGAGGTAGGCAGATCACGCGGTCAGGAGATCGAGATCATCCTGGCTAACACGGTGAAACCCTGTCTCTACTAAAAATACAAATAAATAAATAAATAAATAAATAAATAAATAAATAAATAAATTAAATAAATAAAAATAGCTGTGCGTGGTGGCGGGTGCCTGTAGTCGCAGCTACTCAGGAGGATGAGGCAGCAGAATGGCGTGAACCTGGGAGGCGGAGCTTGCAGTGAACCGAGATCCCGCCACTGCACTCCAGCCTGGGCGACAGAGCAAGACTCCGTCTAAAAAAAAAAAAAAAAAGAAAAGAAAAAAATAGAGCATGATCCATGAATTTTTTGTAACTGTTATGAAATAAAAAGTTGTTTCGTCATTTCTAGTTAGAAAAAAAAGCCACAAAACTCTTTTAGTTTAATAATTAACATATTTAGTACAATGTATTTTTTTTTTAATCTTCCAAATTTAACTTGAGCTGCTATTTCTTCCCTTTCTATTTGGAGAATGCATTGGACAGGCAAACTCTCATAATAAACTCAAGGTGTGTTGCAGCTTTTTTTGTTTCTGTGCTAGGAATTTTTCTCCTCCTTCAATAGTCACTGTTCTGTTTCAGCTTTCCTGGAGAATAAAAAGGAAAAATGGCAAAGTTAAAATTATAGTTGATTTAAAAAAAAACTATTTTAATGACTGATAACAAAAAGACAAAAAATAGAATTAGTCAGAATATAGATGTTTTGAACAGTATGATTAAAAATATTGACATAAATGACATGAATTGATCACTTTAATAACTGCACAATATTTCCCTTTTTAATTGCCTATGGATTCATTATAAAAATTAATCATATGATGGACCATAAAGCCAAACTCATCAAATATCTGAAATGGAAATAATACAAAGTATATTTCTTCTTTCAGTAGATGCTAAAATCTATGACAAAATCATGGCTTAAAAATGTCCAGCTATTTCAATATAAGCAATACACTTTTAAATAATCTATGAGTCAAAGAAAAAATTATAAAGAAAATTAGAAAATGTATTAAACTTAATATAATAAAAATATGACCTATAAAAACTTTTTAGCATGTAGCTATACCAATGCCTTGACAAGATTTAGAATTTTTAATGCTTTATAATCTATGGTTTTTAGTTTTATGTAGTTCATAGTTGTATATGTAACAGTTTTAAATGTTTATATTAAACATTATATTATAAAAAATAATATGGATATTGACAAACGTATAACACGAGTTGCATTTTTAAAAATAAGAACCACAAAAATAATGATAATTGATTGGTAACTACCATTCATTAAAGAGAGAGAGAAAAAAAGAAAAGCATGAACAATACAGCAAAAACTTAGAAAACAAAAAATATATATATTGAATATATTGATAGGCTAAATACTAAAACAATGTGAAATAATTAAACATTAGCTATACTACTCATTAACAGTACCAGTTTCATCGCAGTTTAAAATATATAAAGCAATCCCCAGAAAAAAAATATTTATCGAATTCTGCTTCAGATTAAAATGCTATAGCCCTTTCCACTTCCATATGAAAAGCCAGTCTTTGGCTATATTATCTGTTTTCCTGGTAAAATAATAACGTGATATGTATTAAAATATAAATAAGTAACATTGCTCATAACATATCACTGATAAATTTCATATAGAATGAGAAGATCTTGAGATGAAATATAAATACCTAATGATATGCATTGTATTCTTATAAATAGCATGTCACTTCATGAAAATAAAAATAACTTATGAAATAAAAATACATATAAAACAGAAAATGTAAGAGGAAGAAATAAATTAAAAACTGCTACATAGGTTTAAATGTTCTAAAATTCTAGAATGGTAAAGTCATAATTAGTATTTAATAATCGAAGGATACTATTTGTAATCTGTAATGTAACCATGAAAAAATGATAGAATGATGAAAATCATACAGCTTAATTGAAAGAAAAATAGATAAATAAAAGAATCCAAATAATTATAAAGAAGGCAAAAACTCAGAGAAATAATAATAAAAGGACCATAGATCAAATAGAGCAGAAGCAGCAATATTGTGAAGATGAACCTAATTGTGTCAACAATCACATGAACTCTAAATTAAGCAAATATTCCAATTTAAAGACTAAGATTTTCACACTGAATACTCCTACTTTTCCTTCTCCTCTTAGTAATAATAAAATTAACAATAATAATAATTAGAGGAAGAAGAAGAAAAAGAAGAAGAAAGCTTGAATCTGCCTAAAGAAGACAATTTCATCTTGGTGTGAGTAATGGTAACTATTTGTTAATATAACAAAGCAAGAATACCTAACAATACTAAAAAATTTTAAAACTGAATAATTTACACAAGATACATGTGGTAATTATTATAAATATATAGTTGTTTGTCATGTAATACTTACTCAAGGATAGAGATATATAAAAACCAAAACAATATGGCTACTATAAGACCATATGATTTAATGTATATTAAAAAAGGAAGAATTAATCGATAGTTTTAAAAGCTAAGAAAATATGGGATTGGGACTGAGAGAGTTTCTGTATCACTGTGTTTTTTTAAGTAACTTTGGGTTATTGGTTATATATAATATATAAGAGATATAAGATTACATCTATTATATATTATTATACATAATACATATATATATTGGTTTCTTTTTTTGTTTGTTGTTTCCTGATAATATACTTCTGAATATACTGTTGGTAAGTGTGGCTTATAGTAGAGTTGTGAGCCTGAATGTTTAGGGAAAATGGAAGAGAACTTTTAAAATGTTACAGATGAAGAAGCTTGTGACAGACCAATATATTATTATATATAATAGATGTAAATTTGTGCATAGTGCAGTTTTCTATATATGCTTAAGTAAAATGTCAATAAAATACGTATCCAAAAGGTACATTGTAGTCTTTTTATAAAAGTCGTGATGACAAAGAAAGTCAAAAAAATGTAAATAGGCAAATATATGTCAGGCAAATTTTCAGGTGGAAAGTAAGAGTGATAAAATTAATATTAAATTATGAATCAGAGCAACATGGTTCAAAGTCCTAGTGGATTCTCTGATGGTTCACTCACTTCCCCTTTTCTCTGCCAACCCAACCATTTTGCAATTCTTATGAATATCATTTTCTAATTTCTCACAGTTAGGTTTTTCATTGGGCACTGTCTTCAGCCACAGGAACTACTTTATACAAGTATGTTCATTTCCAGGCGGCAGTCAGTGCCCATGACTGACTTCTAACTCAAGTATAAAATGTGCCATCCTGTGTCTCAATGTGAGACAACTCTAAGACACACCGCAGCTCCAGAGAGCCTTCAGGATTGGCTGAGGCCTCAGCTACAATTACACTGGAAGTCCATGCCACTCGACTCAATCCTCCTCTTTTCACTTCCTATAAAGGCATATCACCTGACAAAACTCATTTATAAGCATTCTGCACAGAATTTATTCATTTCAAAATCTATTTAAAGAAACTCTTGCTAGGTTAGAGTGATTTTTATGTGATTTTTGAGTGTGCTTAATAATTAGGACCTCACTATTCCACAAGAACTTTGAGCCAATTAAGAAAGACAATCAAGTGGTAGACAAATATCAAGGTATCAGCTTTATTATCAATAGAACTACATTGGAAAATACGACTTACACATGTAACAAAAGTGGACACATCAAATTACACTGATTTACTCTCAGCCCTCTCTGCCCCAATTACTGCAGAAATCACAGGTACTCCACACACAAAGCTTATCATTCATTGTAAACTGGGTGCCATTATACCAGTGGCCATAAGATAACCTCTCTGAGGGAAGGTCGGATCCTAAGGAGGAAATGGAGGGAGAGTCAGAGATGCCCACACCAAGTCCCTTAATTCAAACTAATGAAGAAGTATCATACCCACTCTAGGAAAAGCATGAGTGAAAGAGAGAGGACTCCGCTGTGCTTCTAAAGAAAGTATGTTTTTCTCCTAACAATGCTGATAAAATGTAAAAGCAATAAAATGAAATATTCTAATTAGAGGAGATGGTGCTGGAATGCTGTGGCCCTGAGGTATATTTGTTCATTTATCCATTCACTCCTTCATTCAATAAATGCTTATTGTATGTCCTTTATATGTCAGGTACTATGAGCTATTGATATAGTTTCTGTATTTAGGGATAAATCCTAGTAGAATGCAAGCTACCACATGGGCTGATCTATTGATTAGCCTTTTTTTTTTTTAATCTGCCAGTAGTTAATAAATACTTGCTGAATTAACAAATAATAACGTTAATAAAAAATACTCTTAGAAATATGTCAATTGTAACATATCCACAAATTTCATTTCACATAATGAACGTACAAACTACCAAAATCAATTAAACAAAGATTAAGAATACTGTCTTAAAACAATAATTATGGAAAAATTGATGAAGTTGGTGAAGACACTCCCACAAGAGAGTATAACTTCCTTAAATAGAATGATTTGTGAATAAATTCAAAAATCACATTTGGAAAAACCAAATAAAAACTTAGTAATTTAAAATTTTCCAGAGCCTAGGATTAGAGGAAATTTTTTTTCAGTTACTTATGGAACTTCAGCATTTCATGGTATAGAAACCTAAAAAAATGAGAACCACAAATGTATTGTATATCAATATCACCTTTTCATACTCTTATGAATTCTCAAATAAAATGTCAGTACTGAAATATTCCAATATGTTAATATAAATCATCATGTAGATTTATAATGTGAAAACAGCGATAATTTAACATTACTATATTTCAAATCTTATGTAAGTAATGCTATTAGTGTTCACTATCTTGCAGAAAAAGCACAAGTGACTGTAAGGAGACTAGACTATGCAAACTCCAAGTCTTAAGAGTCATAGGCTGGGTATGGTGGCTCACGCCTGTAATCCCAGCACTTTGGGAAGCCAAAGCAGGAGGATTGCTTGAGCCTAGGAGTTTGAGACCAGCCTACGTAACATAAGAAGACCCTGTCTCTACAAGTAAAATTAAAAAATTACCTGGGCATTTTGGCATATGCCTGTAGTTCCAGCTACTTAAGAGGCTGAGGTAATTTGGTCATAATAAAAATCTGGTTATTGTTAATTTGTTCAACAACTTGTTTGATTAAAGTTAGAGACGATGAAAAATTATTTAGTCAGATTAAAAATGTTTCCTAACTTCATTGCAAGTACTGACTATAACAATTTTCAGAGACAAATTAATATTATCACAAATTTGATTCTAAGCCAGAAAAAAAAAACTATTGATTCAGTTCCCTTAGGAAATTTCAAATGAGTGAAATATTTAGTTAGAAGAAGCATTTTTAAATTTTTATCAACCAACTGACTTTTTATCAGCTGTATACTTTTTTAAGTATTTCTTGACAATAGCATTTTGGGGAAAATGTAAAATGTGTTTTTTTTTTATTTTTTAGAGAATTAAAGTGATTAAGGAATTGGGTCACATTTTAACTAGTAATCATGGACTTTTTAGCATGAGAGTTTCTTCCATGGAAAGAATCCTTAATAAGTCAAGGAACTGAAGTACTGCAAACAAGACAGTAAATCCAAATTCAGAAGATGCATCCCTCCCAGTAAGAATATTGCCCTACACTTTCAGGGCAAAGAGGTCAGATGAAATCAACTTGCCACCAAGTATCTGGTTGGTCTTTTTTAGAAAGGGTACCCTACTTAAACACCATTATGTTCTTTGTTGCAGTGAGGTTAGACAACAGCGGTGGCATTAGTGAGGTCAGCCTTTGGAAGAAGTAGCCCATGCATTCGATTAATGCATTATCTCTATTCTTGCAATATAGCCTTCGTGTTTATGGGCAAGAGCTGAGGTACCAAAAGACAGAGGATGGTTTCATCCTCCTCATTCAGAGGGGGACCTCCAGGAGTTGAGTTATTTTGCCAACCTGGTGAACTCTTGAGTGAGCTGGGTGAATATGAATATGGGCACCAATAGTGTCTGCTATACTTATTGTCCTTAAGTAATTTTTCATACCAAGAATGCATGCTCCTCAGAAATATACATTTCACATTGTAAAAAATTAAATCTGTATTGCTTGCAAAATTTCTTTGACAAACAAGCAGTCAGATGTATTGCTGTCTTGTTACTTAATACTACTGCTGAAGTTTAGAAAGAGGTCTGTCAATAGTCCTTGCCTTATATAAGGTAATGAATAGCACTTTAGTCTCTAGGCCCCTTGAGTATATGAGATGTTTGTTATATTACCAATTTCAAAAGTATGAGAATTACATCTAGGCCAAAGAAAGGCACCACCTACATGGGTTCCCTAAGATGCCACAGGTGAATGGCAGAATTGATCTATGATTCTTTCTCAGATAAATCTTAAAGTGAAGCTGATATCAGCTAATTATCTGATATTATTTTGAGAATCTGCTCAATCTTTAATTTTTATGTATAACATCGTATTTAGGGGCCCTCATAGCCATCCCATCTATCTCCTCCATTCATTCCACAAGTCCGTTCCTTCCAAAAAGAAATACTGAAATGCAACTTCCCACATGTGTTTCAGGATGTCCATTTCTGCTTTACATTATTTGATATATGGTTCCTTCTTATAGTTGTTGAAATGTTCGACATTTAATCTTCAGTACACCTATGAAGACTACATTTACACAGTTCCAAATGGCAAGCCTCTTGTATTTTCCCAAGCAGACAAAAATCATGCAGCTTCTACAGGCTTCTGAGTGCTGTATATGAATCTCAATCTCAATTCAGATTGCCATTCACTCATTCTAGATATTGAGATGGTCCTTCACTAAAGGTTGGTCTTCATGGTTCTATATCCATAAATAATTTTTACAGTAGGATGTCACACATTTTCACATAACTAGGAATATCTGTTTCCACTTACAGTTTCTTTTATTTTTTGATCTATCTCTAAGATGATAGGTTTTATCGATGTACTTTTGACGTTTTGGTGGCTGTTGAAAGTGGAATAAAATACTCATAAATACAAAAATACACACAAATATATGTGATTTTCAGATGTTGATTTCGCTAGTGATTTTCTTTCATATCTTCCCATGTTTTTTTGGACTAATGTTAATCTTAAGTAAAGGTTTCCCTGTAACACTCAGTCTTAAAACAACCAATATCAGAAAAAAAAAACAAGAGGAGATGTTGAAAGCACACGTCTCTAAATTTTCACGTCTAAAAATTTGTCATGGTTTATTCTGACTCTATCTTTGGATCTATACATAAAATATTGTATTGGGATATACATGGTAAAGATATACTTGCAATAAATTCAAGGGAAGGAGTTTTGAAAAATTATTTTTTATTGAAGCTGCCTCAAACTACTCAAAAAAGGATGAGTGAGGACAAACAAACAAGCAAGCAAACAGAGCAAAAAACAAAACAAAACAAACAACAACAGCAAACCCACATGTCAAAACCTGAGGCAGTGCAGGCTCCAAGTGTGGATGAGAACAGTAACTCAATGATATCATGAGCATTCTTGAAATGCCATCTTCGGGCTTATAGAAAGATGGCTTTAGCAGTTACTTCCATGCATAATGTATCTATGGAAAAATAAGAGACTATCTCTGTGCTTATTTTACTTTTAGTAGTGAAGAAACTTTTAACAACACCCCCCTGATCAAAAGTGGCCAACTTCCTACTCCCTATTGTCAATAATTAAAATTCAATTGGCCATTCCTAAACAAGTCACAAGACCTCTGCACCAGCTAATATTGGTAAATTAATATAATTACCGTGACTAACTTAGACAATTGAGGTGAAATAGAATAGAAATGAAATCATTCTGCATATTTTAAATCGATTTTTAAAATATATAAGTAAGCTGTTTTATATACATTAGAATGCTGACTTGGCAAATTCTCATTAAATTGATTAATTTGTTATTTGATTAAATAAAATGTGTAGGTCAGCAATTGCATAATCTTAATTTTGTCACTTCTTTCAAATATGTATACTGTTTTTCTTACTGCATTGTATAAAACTTCAACAGACTATTAAATAATAGAGATGATAACAGCCGTTAGGACTCTGTTTGCAATTTAAGTAAATCCAAATCAAATTCACTTACATATTAAAAACCAGTATATAAAGTGAATCAGCACCTGACTAAGGTCCAGAGGAAGAATTGACTTCAGGCATGACTGAAACTATAACCACAAAATATGTTCTGAGGGATATTTCTTTCCACGTCTCTCAACTCTGCTTTTATTTGCATGCTATTCTCATTCTTTCTTACAACAAATGAATTCTTTCGTTAAGCCCGTAAAATAGATGTCAGCCACTTCAGTTTATAACATCCATTCAGCTTCTAATCCCAAAGCTGAGGAAATGTCTGTACTGAATATACTGGCATAAATGCCCCAGAGAATGTGCTGATTGGCCCCATTTGGGTTAAGTGTTATTGTTAAATCACTTACTGCATCTAGCCAGGATACTGATGGACTTTTATTAGTCAAATCTGGGTCATGGATTTATCACTGGAGATGAGAAAAATAGCCCCACATAAACCGTATCGAACATGAGACAGATGGTTTCAAAATAGGTATTAAATAGGCCGTGCTATATGTCAGTAAAAAGTAAACCACACATCTCAGTGGGTTAACAGAAAAAGTTTGTTGTTTACTTATGTTATTATCCAATCCAATTAGTGGTGATGGTGGTCATGGGTGTTCTGGTTCCTGCAGTGACTCAGGGACCTAGGATCCTTCCAAGTCGTGAATCTGACATCTTCCAAAAATGGCTGAACATCTCAAAGTATTTCAGCTTGAAGCCAGAGGTGAAGAGAAAAAGTGAGGAAAAGATAAAATTGTCTTCGTATGGAATTTACATAACATTTGTGGTTATATTTTATTGGTAAGAACTAATCACAGGAGCCCAAATAGATGAAATATGTCTTGGAAATGTAGTTTATCTGTGTACTCAAAGAGAGAAAATCTGTTGCTGATGATATAACCAGTCCCTTCCGTAGGACTTGGTAGTCAAATTTTATCTGTTCAATATGTTACCATCCAAATTATTTTCTTACCTTATTGTGCAAAGTGTTAATGCTTCACTATTAAGTAGTACAATATATGGTGATTTGAAATATAATTATATATTATGGAAAAGAAGGACTCTTTCTGCACTGGCAATTTATTATTGTGTAATAAACTTCAAAGCTTAGTAGTTTAAGCTGTATGATTTACATTTTGTAATTAGTCTATGGTTTGGCAATCTGGGTGGCTTCTGCTCGTCTTCCCTGGGATTGCCTGTGGATGCAGTCATCTGACAGCTCAACTGAGAATGGGAGGTTCAAGATGGCTTCACTCTGATGTCAGGCAGGTGGTGCTGGTTGCTGTTTGGGGTGTCCTCAGTGCTGTCTTATTCCCTACTACGCAAAATCATCTTCTGAATAGGAAGTCACTTGTAAAAGGTGAAAGCAGGAGATGCCATGCCTCTTAAGGGTTAGCATCCTAAAGTCCGACACAATTTTTACTACATTCTGTTAGTGGAAGAAAGTATCCAGCACAGACTCAACAAGGTACAAAGATGGATCTATCATTTAATGGGAGTAGCAGTGATGTCACTGAAAAAGAGGGTAGACACAGGGAAGAGTAGTTTATGGTGGCTTTCAGGATTTTGTTATTTTTTTTGAATTTATATCAGAAATAGATATTGAGAATTATTAAATACTTTTCTGCAATAATTAAGTTTATAGTATTCTTATTCTTCTCTAATTTCTAATTGAGAGTACCTATGTGGATGCATCCTCTAAAAACATATCTTTGTGTTCATGGGATAAAACATTTCCTCATGCAGCAGTATATAATGCTTACTGAGATTATTGATTCTGAAGTAAGATAAAATGTTTCAGAATCCTTTCAGCTATTCTTCCTAGCTGCAGTATTGAGGGAGTTTCTTACTATCCATACACCTAATTTTAATGTTATGTAAACTGGGGATTACAACACCCATTGTATACATTTATTAAAATAAAATGAGATAACATATGTAAAGTAGTGTATAGTACAAAACATTCTGTATTAATAAGTGTTTGAAATTATTACCTTTTAGAATCAATTTTCTTTTGCTCATCTGCATCTAATAGTTGGAAGAGATAAGAAAAGAAAACAAGGAATAGCATGTATTGTTTAACTGAAATAAATGGTTCATGTATTTTGCTCCCTTTCTTATTCCTATAAACTAGTAGTGTTTAACATATTCTTTTATTCCAATCAATAAGAACTTTGTAAAGTCTGAAAAACTCAAATTTTCTTCTACATTACACATATTTTTTGGTAGATTCACTTCGGCAGTCATGATCATTAGTCTATAATGTTTGACAGTGGGTTGCATGTTCTCTGTAATTTAATGTGATTTGCATATGTGTCCTAGGAGCAGTAAAACTATTTCAGAATTCAATGGGAAAAGATGTGGCCCTTGGGAATCATCTTATTAGCATGCAAGAACAACTCTTCCAGCAAAAGCATGTGTTAAAAGAACAGTGCTTTCAGCAATGCATTGGAAATCCTTTAGCCAGTACGCACACACTTTTGTGGAGAAAAGTCATCAATGTGAGATGCTCCATGACACCTCAAGAATTTAAAGAATGACATTCAAGGAACTGATTTGTGCTAACAATTCTAACTGAAATAACTTTTCCACTTTATTTTAAAAACTTCTCACAAAATGTATGTTAGGTTATATGGTCAGTGGAAAAAATATTATTAATACATGTTAAATTCTTAAGTGTTCCGGAATAAGCCAGAAAAACTGTTTTCAATTATTCTTTCATTTTTATTTATTTAAGTAATTATGAAATAGCAAAATTCATAAGGAAAAAGTCCCCAGATAATTTTAAGACAATAATTACATAGTTGTTTTATTAATTATTAAGCTGTGCATTTTCTACCAAAGGAATGGTGGTGTATTTTCTATTTTTATGTCAACATTAATGTCAATAAAATCTATAAAATTTATTTACAGTTTTTAATCCTCTTAAAGTCCACTTATTATTTCACTCAATGAGTATTTATTATATATTATGTAAAAAACTATTGTAGTAACCTTATCTTCACATTCTCAATTTCTAATCTCTGTTCCAAATATTCTATCTCAGAAACATCACAAATGCATCCCCTATCCTACATTCCAACTTCCATAGGCTGACTATAAACTTGATAACATGCTGAAGATCATCATGGGAAACATTCCAGGGACTCTAGAAAACATTTATGCATATGTATGCCCTGTTAGGTGAAGAGGCATGTCTTAACAATCTTTAAACTAAATCCAAAATTCATTTTTAAAAATGATGACCGGCTTGGCGTGGTGGTTCATGCCTCTAATTTCAGCACTTTGGGAGGCCAAGACTGGCAGTTCGCTTGAGCCCAGGAGTTCAAGACCAGCCTGGGCAGTATGGCTGAACCCCGTCTCTACAAAACAATACAAAAATCAGCAGGGGCGTGGTGGCACACAGTCCCATCTCCTCAAGAGGCTGAGATGGCAGAATCACGTGAGCCCAGGAGGTGGAGGTTGCAGTTAGTCAAGATCAGGCCACTGTACTCCAACCTGGATGACAGAACGAGACTCAAAAATAATAATAATAATAAAATAATAATTTTAAAAAACATAAGTAGATTTTCACGCAATAACTGGATACAACTTTTATTATATTTTTAGCAATTTGGACAAACAGAAATTGAAGTAATTTACATTTCTTAATTATAGCTTTTCAAGTGTGTACATTATATATTTTATGGGTTAATGATATTTATTATTACCAAGATAATTATAACACATGAAGTGAAGAAGGTAGTAATGGTGCTGGAATGAAGAATGATAGGTAAATAAGTAGACTTGAGAATTACATGAATTAGTTGTCATCAGATAAACCAACAGTTTTAAACATGTTTCATGAGTTGTTTATAAAGCTAAATGTGTGTTTATGAAAATAAAGATCATCAATTTGCATATCATTCTATGTGGAGACAATACCAAAATAAATGTCTGCAGATAGCCTATATAATTTGTGAGAATAGACCTGCCATTGTTTCAAATCATGATCAAATAAAATTTAAAAGGTGATAAGCAAGTGGTGAATTCTTGTCTGTATATAAAACACATTCCCAATAAACATGTTGGCCACTCAGTTTATCTACATTTTTTATTTATGCATTTTAACCTATTGGCAACATTTGGTAACAATATAAATGATTGTGCATATATAATGGGAGTGAATAATTGTTTAGCATCCCATAATTTCCTAATTTTAAATGCCTGCCTTTTATATGATGTTGAAAATATAATTCTGATATGGTGTGATTCTTCTCTACATTTGTTTGAATATTTTATATCTCTATCTAATTATTAATACAACAAGATGCCTCCTCATTTATTGTAATCCTATAACCCTATAACATCATTTATATTGACTTATTTGGGTACTAACATTTTGCTGTATTCGAAGATAGCATACATCGTTTTATTTTATAGGTAATGGCCTTTAATGATACTCTGAGTAAAATTTTGTACAAAGAACCTCACAAGACGAATATTTTATATTTTTCATGAGCAGTCATTTTACCACGTACTCCACAGACCATTCCCCCCCTCCCCGACCCCTAGGCCGCAGACTGGCACTGGTCCATAGCCTGTTAAGAACTGGGCTGCACAGCAGGAGGTGAGCCGCAGCTGAGTGAGCATTATGGCCTGAGTTCCGCCTCCTGTCAGGTCAGCTGCATTAGATTCTCACAGGCGGGCAAACGCTATTGTGAACTGTGCATGTGGGGGATCTAGGTTGGCGCTCTTTATGATAATCCAACAGAAACCATCACCCACTGGGTCCCTGGAAAAACTGTCTTCCACGAAACTGGTCCCTGGTGCCAAAATGTTGGGGACCGTTGTTGTAGGCCATAGCTTGCCTGTAGTATTTTCCTACTGAATACAATTTTATGTTAATATTGTTTTACAAATGCAGGAAGAAGACTATAATGTAAGTGGTTTATCTAAGAATCAATATGGAAAGATTGTGATTTATATATAATTGCATGATTCCATGTGTGCTGCTACCATATTTAAATGTAATGAAGCCCTGAAATCAAATAGAACATTAACCAACAAACAAAAAACCTCAGAGATTTAATTGGAAACAATTCTGTTTTAGAATTTTACAGGTAATAATCTTGTTAAGATATTAAAATTAAAATATAATTTTCAAAACTGTGGAATAATGGTTTAACTTTTTTCCAGTCTTCAGTAAAGTTGCAATTTTTTCCTTATATTTTGCTACAGTAACAGTGCCTTATATTGACATGATATTTTGTAGTTTTTATCTTTATAAGGCAATTTTGTATGATGTAATTATTTTAATCCTCATGTCAACCTTGTTAATATTTTTTAACCTTGCAATTATGGAGGAAAAAAACTGATACTATAAATAGGTTACATGACTTATTCAGAGTCATACAGCTGGCAAGCAGATACAGAAGTCAAAGCAAGACACTTCCACTTTTATGACTGAAAGCTTTGCACAATACCCCACACATTCCATCCCAAAGCATAGAGTAAATACATGGGTTCAGTAATTCTCATGTTGTTTGCGACATCTTTCTCATTTGAGGTTATAAAAAGCACTGCTATATTTTATTATTATAGCTACAGTTATTTCACATGTACTCCTTTCCTTCACAACATGTGTGCTTTTAATCCATCCTGCTGAATTTCTAGAGATTCCAAAGAAATATTTCAATACGCTTCCAATAATTTCAACATTATATATGTTCTATATTTTTTATTTATTCTTTTCAAAACAATATTTAACAGATATATAAGCTGGTCCTTTTTTGACAAATTTTTGGAAGGTTACATGTTATTTTCTCTCCAAATCATATTTTAAACTTGCAAACAAACACATTTACTAAAGATAAGCAATTAAAATTACTTTTTAAAAAATTTTATTATTATTATACTCTAAGTTTTAGGGTACATGTGCACAACGTGCAGGTTTGTTACATATGTATACATGTGCCATGTTGGTGTGCTGCACCCATTAACTCGTCATTTAGCATTAGGTATATCTCCTAATGCTATCCCTCCCGCCTCCTCCCACCCCACAACAGTCCCCGGTGTGTGACGTTCCCCTTCCTGTGTCCATGTGTTCTCATTGTTCAATTACCACATATGAGTGAGAACATGCGGTGTTTGTATTTTTTGTCCTTGCGATAGTTTGCTAAGAATGATGGTTTCCAGCTTCATCCATGTCTCTCCAAAGGACATGAACTCATTATTTTTTATGGCTGCATAGTATTCCATGGTGTATATGTGCCACATTTTCTTAATCCAGTCTATCATTGTTGGACATTTGGCTTGGTTCCAAGTCTTTGCTATTGTGAATAGTGCCGCAATAAACATACGTGTGCATGTGTCTTTATAGCAGCATGATTCCATCCCATTACTGGGTAAAATTACTTTTTATAAATGTTTAATTATGGTAAAAGTATATAACATAAACATTTTTGACATATGAAAACAATGAAAGAAGAAATTTGCTGCCATAATTACAAATGTGAGTACATTAATTTACAACTCTGAGTGACATCTATCACATCATAGTTTAATTGATTCTTTATTCTTGATCAATTGCGGTTAGGACATGGTATAATAAGGTGATTCAAGAGCTTACAAAAATTAGTTAGAATCAACATTTAAATGATGTAATTATTATAGAAACAACCATGACAAATTGTTTTTAAGGAAGAAGCTCAGAAGGTTTTGGAATTGCCACATAAAATAAGATAAACTTGTCTTCGGAAACTAAGACAAATAAATGAAAAATGTAATCTAAAAGATTGTTTGTATCTTGTTTAAAGAAATACTACATTACAGATTTGTGATTTTCATTAAGTTCAGAAAGACTAATTCATCGTACCAGTATTTTCTTGTGTTCATCTGGTATGGTAAAGATAAAAAGACATCTGATACACTCAAACTTTTTATTACTGCAAAAGTCTACCAGTTGTGTGGCAGAAGGGTTCACTATATTTAATCAGGGATTGTTGAGAGTAGTTTTTAATACCATTCTTCCTCAATGTATCCTGAAATATTCTGTATATTAATTGGGTTTCAAGTGACTAAGTCCATAAAAATACCCCCTCAGACAGATAATGATGATTTTGGAGACTGAGATTGCACACTGTAAGTTAATATATATTTTGCTTTAATGAAATTAGTAACTACCATTTAACAATAACTTCACAAGGGTCAACCTCTATATTATATTTTTTACAGCACCACCTTATTAGATCATCAAAACAAATCTGTGAAACCCAATTATGGAAGTGAAAAATGAGCCTTAAAGAAGTTTAGAAACTGGCTCAAGGTCATACGACTATTAAATGTCTGAGAAGCAGAGGCTATTTGATCTTATTATATTAGGTTATTATAAGAAACAGTGCAATAAAGCTCATTTCATACATGCTTGAAGTATAATGTTGAAAAGTATGTATACAAAATCACAAAATATATTTTTGGTCTTATATATGATTGCAACCTTGAAAAATGCTAAGAGTAGATGTTAAATGTTCTTGCCACAAAAATATAACCATGTGAGGTAGTGCATATAATTAGTTAGATTTTAAAATTCCCTGAAATATGTATACTTCATTTTTACATGATAGATAAAATTGTGTCAATTTAAAAAAATTATTTAAAAAAATTTAAAAAGAAATTTTTGTCGCATCAGCATGAAAGATTGTTTCTCTTGAACAAATGTGAATGGTTTGCTTTCAATTTTTGGAACTTTGGATAATTAATCTTATTTTACTTCAGAGCCACATTTGTGAGATATGTTTTTATAATAAATTTGAACTTGTCATTTGAGGGAATAGGTGTTTTTAGGACTATTGTTTATTCTCTATCTTTATTGGCCCAAATATTTATGCGTTGTTGCCTTTCTAACAAATTCTGTTTCTCTGAGTTAGGTGACATCCAGCAAATAGTGGAATTAGTACAATATGTTCCCCAAAGTAAGTCAGGATATGGTCTAGCTTTTCAGAAGGAGAAAGCTGCTATGCAACTAACAGCCATCATTTATATCAGCTTTACCTGTCATAAATTCCAACCTATGTATCTCTTGACATTTAGGAGGGACCCTTGGAATATTGTACATGCCACATATTCTCTATTTTTGAAATAAATTATAGTAAATACCTTCTAAACCCTAATAAGCATCATGTCCCTAGTAATAATACATCTAGGAAAGAGGAAACAGTGAGTTAAATTGTATCCCTCAAAATTCATATCCTTCTGTTTCCTCAAAATGTGAACTTATTTGGAAATAGGATCTTTTGCAAGTGTGATTATGTTGAGGTCATACTGATTTAGGATTGGCCCTAAATCCCCAGTGACTGGTATAATTTTAGTAAGTGTAGCAATGTAACTCTCATAAAAACTAGAATAATAAGCAGAAGATGTTTATTGAATATCAGCTGAGAACATGGGCACTGCATGTTAATTAAATATACCATTACAGATAAATGTTAAACATAGAGATTAATTTAATTATTTGATTGCATGAAACTGTGATAGGCAGCCTCATCCACTCCACAACAGGAGACAATTGCAGATGGCAAAAGGACACTGGAAGACTGCCGGTTTTAAAGTTCTTTTTCCATGGATGGCGCTATAACAGGGTGTGACAACATTTGTCTCAATGATTCTTTTGTTCTATGCTTCCACATCTGGTAAAACCTACGTTCTGACTGACTTGGGGGGAATATTAACACATTTAATAAGTAAAATTGCATTCTTGGAGACCCAGAAATATTTTAAGTGACCTTGTAATCTCCGTAATGATCCATTATGCAGATTCTAACATTTAGTGTACTAGGGCAATATTCTTCTAATCTCTGACTTTTTTAGGGATGCTTTATAATATTTTTAATAGAATGAAAAGATACTCATCTTAAAGAAACTTATATGATAATTGAAATTATAGAGAAATTAGAATTAAACAACTTCTTAAATTTTAGCCTAAAACTAGCTCTGGAACCTCTATGATTCTAAAACAATAATAACAATAATGATAATAGTCTTGATTCTATTTTGTTCAGAAACTCAAAGATGACTTCCTGTTTCCTTTTTTTATTAACTAAAGTTTAAAGAGCAGGTCAGTTACTATGCTCACTAACGCTATGAACTTTTTACAGTTCCACTTTTCGCTTTTGGAAATTTGCTGTTAATAATAGCAAGTTTGAGCTAGCAGTTCTTCATACACTCACAGAGAAATGGAAAAGACTTATGATTCAGGAAAACAATGACCTATTACTAACAGGCATAGTGATACGTAGTTTTATTTCTCCCATTGGAGACACCTGCAACTTCCTGCTAAATGGCTTTGTGTTCAATACACATTTGCTGGACTGAGATGTGCTATAATTAGAGCTATCACTAAATCATTATCACATTATACCACTTTCTAGTGCCTCATCCAAAACTCAGTAGGGCAATTCCATCTCTTCTTTGCTGGTGGAGAGCCACAGTAATATCCTACAAGCCAGAGCTGCTCAGCTTCCTACTTGAAAACACCCTAAAAAGGGCTCTCTGATAGGGGAACAATTGGTATTTGAATGTGGGGATGCTTCCTGATGAGGAAAAGCAAACAAGCAAGAAAGAAAACTTTCAAAGGAAGCTGAAGCAGCTTGGAGCAGTCTTTTATTCCTCAGGAAGGCACACATGAGGAGACAAGCGAGAAGAAAAAGTTGATTTTAAGTAATTTGGGGAAGAAAATGTGAGAGTAGAGGGTCTGAGTGTCTTAAAATGAGAAAGATTCTGTACCTGATGACTGAAGGGCTAAAAAATAAAATAGAATAAAAAGAATCTGCTACTCAGGCAGGGTTTTGCATCCAGCTGGAAGAAAAGAGAGTAAAATATAGAAACTGATTGCCGAGGTTTACTTTTGCATCTCTCTCATTTGCTGTGTATTCCCACAATGAGACTGTACTTCTCCCTTTTCATTCTGTAATCTGTCCTGCCCCACTTAGATCTTCATCCCCAAACTCTTACCTTAAAATTCACACTCCCCCCTTCTACTTCAAAGTTCCAGAAATCAGAGTGCAGTTGCCAGAGTAATGAAAGGGCTCAGGGTTTTAGAAATGTAAATGTAGTTGTAGTGTTTAAGGTGGTGTTATAGTGTGCAAATAACATTACATGGGAATTTTAAAAAGAGATACCTTGACACCCCGTATCACTGACTAATGTTTCCTGGAATCCTCAGCTTTTTCATATGTCAATTAAAGATATTAATACTGGCCCTTCCTACTTCACAGAGTGTTATAAGGCACAAGTTATCAAGATAGCAGAAGTCTTTTAAAATGACAAATTATAAGTCAGGAAACAACAGATGCTGGAGAGGATGTGGAGAAATAGGAACGCTTTTACGCTGTTGGTGGGAGTATAAATTAGTTCAACCATTGTGGACGACAGTATGGCGATTCTTCAAGGATCTAGAATCAGAAATACCATTTGTTCCAGCAATCCCATTACTGGGTATATACCCAAAGGATTATAAATCATTGTAGTATAAAGACACATGCACACATATGTTTATTTCAGCGCTATTCACAATACCAAAGAATTGGAACCAACCCAAATGTCCATCAATGATAGACTGGATGAAGAAAATTTGGCACATATACACCATGGAATACTATTCAGCCATAAAAAAGTGTAAGATCATGTCCTTTGCAGGGACATGGATGAAGCTGGAAACCATCATACTCAGCAAACTAACACAGGAACAGAAAATCAAACATCACATGTGCTCACTCATAAGTGGGAGTTGAACAATGAGAGCATTATGGGCACAAGGAGGAGAACATCACACATTGGGGCCTATTAGGGGGTGGGAGGCTAGGGGAGTGGTAGAGTTAGGAGAAATACCTAACGTAGATGATGGGTTGATGGGTGCAGCAAACCACCATGGCACGTGTATACCTGTGTAACAAACCTGCAAGTTCTGCACATGTGTCCTAGAACTTAAAGTATAATTTAAAAAAAATGACAAATACCATACAAAGATGAAGTACTCTCCAGGTGAGAAGGAGAGTAAAATTATGTGCATGACTAAAATAAACTTTTTAAAATGATATAAAACATAGTTATTGATTTAATAGAGACTGTGTTTTACCTGCAGCACATTTGGTTAAAAACTTTGGCTTGTTTTCACCTCTACAGCCTCTTTGTGTTAAGTCCTGCTGACATTTTCAGGCTTTCACTCTAGGAAACAGGAGCATCCTTGCTGAATGGTCGCTATCCTTTCTGTACAGATGTTGACTCATCTGGAGTGAATGCACTATAAGAAGGAGAATTGGGATTTTAATTTACTAAGCAGGGAGGCAAATTATGTAATTAGCTGATAAGCAGTTAAGCAGAAAAGTAACAGACGTAATCTTGTAGGGGACACATTGGAATCACATAAGACTTATAAATATTTTCTTACATAATTTTTGAATTTAAGAAACCTGTACTCTGCATAGACTTACTGAATTATATTCCTTAAAAATTGAACATAGGACCTGCATTTTTCCATTGTTTCTTTATATTTCATCTTTATTTTTATAATCCACTTTTTAATTTATTTTCTTTTATGTGGTTATTTTTTGAAGACAAATTTGAAAATTTATTTTTATAAAAAAATTGTAAAATTCTAAAAGCATGTCTTCATAATCCAGACTTTTCAGAGAGTTAAGACACCATTTTATAAGAATTTTACAAAAAAAATTATGTAGCAGTTAGCAACAACAATGAGAATATCATATTTTCATAAATATGATAACAGTCTTGGATATGGGTTATATTTCCCACGTGTAGAAAAGCAAATGGCAAGCCCTCATGGTCTGACTCATTACATTTAGTATATACATGAGCCAGAAGTTGTAATGTTTAAAGTTCAGTGAGATATATATATTTCTTATACCTTAAGGTTTTACACACTAAACACTCTTTCAAGCTCACACTATATTGTTTTTAATAAAAGTATTGTGCCGCTAATAAAAATGTTCAGCATTTTTTATAAAGCTTGAATTTCATTTTGAATATAGTTAAAAATTTTACAATGAGTCTTCAAGTTTCCTTTTAAATGTGACTTGGTGCTGTTTGTTGTTTTAATATCAATGGCCTGAAATGTTCCATCATTCAAGAATACATGCAGTGTGATGGAGAATAGTTAGACATCAAAAAGAGAGGCTTGATCTAACTCAGAACTCACATCAGTGGTTCTCAGAGAATCACTGCAAAGACTTTGGGGAAGACTAGTGCACTCATTCTGATGCTATTTTTATTTAGCCCTACCTTACTTCTAGATATCAGAAACTGATGAGAAACGCAATTGCTTTGGAGTTCAGTGTCACAGCGTTCTGACCCTGAGAGTTGAGGGCTCAAGTTCTAATGAAAGTGTGTGTCTCTATGTGTTATATTAGCCTCATTTAGACCAATGGATATTTTTAAATGGATGGCAGTAAGTTAGTGCAGGAAACTCATCATGGCCATTAATTTTGATTTTATACGGCAGATGTTTTCTCAGTGCCAAATAAACCTGTTCAATTTACCCCATGTCTTAAAGTACCCTATCTATTATTTACATGTGAGCACTTGCACTGCTGAGAAAAGGAATAGCAAGGGCATGGCAGCGGTATATCACGACAGCTGGTGAGGTGATTGCTTACAAAATCAAAATTCTTGGCTGCAACTCAAGATTGAAAATAATTTAGGTACAAGAAACCTTCTCTGTTTCTTTCTTTGTTCTCATTGCCTTGCATGTAAGACCTTCAGCTATAAACTTTCTGATAATCTGCACTGATAATCTGCATTAAGAGAATGACATAATAAAATTAATATTTTCTAATATGTTCCAAATGTTCTCATTATCAGTAACATGCATAACTCACCAAGTACTTGATAATATTTGTACATAGATTATTATTTTTACAATAAATTTATGAACATTCTCAACTCCCAACTAGTTGGTGCAAAGAGTTTTGTGGATTTTCTTTTATTTCGACAGTGATTGTCATATAGATGTAAACTAGAATCTGGAGCTTCCATATCAGAAATTGCAGATGAGTAGGTGGACATATCAGACAGGATAATATTTTAAAAGAAAAAAAAGCCTAGAGGGAATTATAAAGGAAGGGTCATAAAAAGGTAGTATGCTGACCTTGATTATTTCTATTTTGTTTTCCTCTCATATACCAGCTATTTCTTCCACCTGCTGCAACTGTCTCAGAATTTCTCCAAGTCCAGGTCAAGTGCCTTTCTTTATCCTAGACAAAACAGATGTACAAACTGAGAAAAACACATTAAGCTTCTTTGTTTCTTTAACATCTTGGATTCAATTAACTTCTAATAACATTTATGAAGACTTCTATAAACAGAATCTTGTGCTGTCTTGAATGGTAAGTTGTAAGCACATGAGTACTCAAGTATGATCCAGATTGTACTGCCTGCAAGATGGAAGGTACTCTTACCAAATAGGGAGCTGTTCCTGTGATAATGGAAAACGGGGATCTGAGGAAAAGGAATTTACAAAATTTAAATTGGGTAGGATAAAAATACAATCGAGGCTTGAATATCTAGTGCTGATTAGAGAAGGCAGTCCTGGTTTAATGGTGCATTAAACCTGCCATGAATGCATCCTAGCCCTTAGGTATCAAGAAAATGGTTAAACTGGATCAACTAAAAATAGCCAGACAGAAATGAAGAAAACCACAAGGCCTTGTAAGATCTATAAGTTTGAAATTTTGCCCTAGATTAATTCTGTCATTAGAAGGGAAATCTCTTCAAATTTAACCCAGACTTTAAAATATTGCTGCTTTGAATTATGAATTATCAAAGCAGTCAATTTTGACAACAATATTCAAGGAGAAAATGTACATTTTTCATAAAGCTGAAGATTACTATATTCTCCAGACACTTATTTTTCTCACAAACTATTAATTCCTGCAGCAGGGTTTTTGGAGACTTTTTACCTGTGTGTGTTAAGTCTTCACTAATGTAAAAAGCATACACATATTTGTTCAATTTATGGAACTGAGACTTTTTTGTTACTAAGAGAGATAAGACTGCACTTCTTCAAATTTCTTTAGCTTGCCAGAAACACTTAATTCAATTCAAAGACGTGAATATTACATCATTTGGAGCAGTTTTATTAGCTTATCCAAAATGGGAATGCAATGCAATATATCTTAATTTAGTCTAGCCTTTCTAATTGCATGATGATTCTTTAATAAATTGTATTTTGAATATTCTAATATATAAAACTATGTTTTCTTCATGGGGGGTTGTGATTATTTATTTCAGTGAAAATTTACCATGAAAGTACTTTTGAGCTTTTCAACTAACTTACCAAAATTAAGTCCTAGCTCTTACATGCAAATTTGTAAAACATGTTAGAACATGATACAGATTCTAAAAGTCTTTTTTTTTTTTTTTTGCTTTATTATTAGAATTTAAAAAGAAATTTCACCAAAGTGCCTGGCAGCTGTGAATCTAGAAGTGGATTAGTTTAGCACTGCCAAGGTATTTCATGTTCTGTGACATGACTTTTCACCTTCCACTGCATCATCAGGCTGGCAAGAGTGATCTCTGAAAGGCTCTTCTGGTGATATTGGTGGAGCAGTGTATTTCCATTGAAATCCGAAGCCTGAAGAGGGAGCATCAATATACATATGTTCCTTTCTGTATAAAGCAATTGTTATCCTATTACATAACAAAGTCTGGTTTTGATGATTTAATCTTACCTTTTATGAAAGAAAATCAAAAATTGTATTGTTATTTGACGTGCTGCTTAATTTAAAAAAAGCACTTTAGATTTTGCATCATGAAGCATTTAGGTATTTTCAGGAAAGAGCCTACATTTTGAGATCATTTTTATTTTAAAACATTTAGTATTAATGTGTATCTGTACAATTATAATTAGTAATTTTCAGCCATATCCAGTACCAAAAAGTTCACTTGGAATCCATAAAAATTGATTTGCCTACAATTCCCTACTGGCCAGCAAACCCTTCTTGTCTTTATCAATTAATAATTTTATTTTTAAATTAATAATTAATTTTCTTAATAAAAATGGCATCGTGTTTCTCTTGTTACTAAAGTGCATTTCCACCGTTAAGAAAATAGTTATGTACAATCAACAGACAAACATTTTTAGCACAGCTCTACTCATCCTTTAAGCCAATTATACCATATAGAGCTACAGTTAAAGGCCTGGGGGGCTTACTCAGCATCCTTCATTATGAAATCTGCAATGATACTATGAGCAGTTGTCTTCCAGTGTGTTCTGATGAGAACAGCAAGGAAATTAAGAAATAAGTTCACACATGTCAAGGCTCTTCTCCTCATGTATTTCTTGAGTACAACCTTATTTACTTGTCCTTATTTTTTCAGTGCCTCATTTTATACCAAAAAATTCATTTTAATCTACGATTTAAAAAAAATTTATTGAAAGCTGTTTTACTTCACCTATAAGTCAGAATGATAAGCAGGCATTCCCTTTTATTTTTATTTCTACCCTTCTAAAACATTATGAAACAATTCTATATTTTACTATGATGAGCTTTTAGGTAAAAAATTACTTTCAGAGAACTACTAGAAATATGTATAAATAGGAAGTTTCTACTCATAAAACTGATAAACATTGATGAGGTAAAATTTAGACTAAATGAAAAAAAGTTTGGAAATAGGAAAACAAAAAACCTGCTTTTTAATTTATCTTTACCTCAATAATGAAAATATATTTATACAATTTATTGAATAAGTAATATATGTTTAAACAGTATAAAATGAAACATCATCTCAGCAATATCAGTGCTCAATATAAGCACTTTTGGTTGTTTCATGGGTTTATCCTCTTTAATGACTACTCTATTTTACATTCCTACTAACAGCGTACAAGGTCTCTGGTATCCCCACATCATCACTAACACTTGTTATTTTCTAATTATTTGATAATGGCCATCCAAGCAGATGTGAGTTAATAATTTCATTGTGGTTTTTATTTGTATTTCCCTGATGAATAAAATGTTCAGCATCCTTTCATATACCTGGTTTGCATTTTCATGTTTATTTGAAGAAGTGACTTTTCGAGCCCTTTGCCCATTGCTTTAATTGGATTATTTGGATTTTTAATATTGAGTTCCAGGAATTTATTTTATTTTTTGGATACCCCTAATCCCTCATTAGATATATAGTTTATAAATATATTTTCCCATTCCATTAGTTGCCTTTTCATTCACTGGTATTTCCTTTGCTGTGTAGAAGATTTTTAGTTTGATGTTTCATTTGTTTTTGTTTTTGCGGCCTGTGTTTTTAGTGTCTAATAAATCATTGTCAAGACAAATGTCATGGAGATTTCACCCCATTTTCTCTTAATCGTTTTACATGTTCAGGTCTTACATTTAAGTTTTTAATTTACTTTGAATTTATTTTTGTACTTAGTTAGAGATGACGATTCATTTTCATTCTTCTGCATGGTGGTGGGACTATCCAGTTTTCCCTCCAACATTTATTGAAGATTGTCTTTTAATTATTGTGTGTTCTTGACACCTTGTCAAAGACTGGTTGGCTCTAAATGTGTGGATTTAATTCCAGGCCTTTCTATTCTGTTCTGTTGGTCTATATGTCTGATTTTATGCTGTTCTATACTGTTTGGATTACTGTAGTTTTGCAATATATATTGAAATCAGATAGTAAGATGCTTCCAGCTTTGTTCTTTTTGCTAAAGATTTCTTTGGCTGTTTTGGGTCTTTTATAGTTCCATATGAATTGTAGCATTTTTCTACTACTTCTGTGAAGAATACCATTGGGATTTCGGTAGAACTTGCATTGAATCTGTAGATGACTTTGAGCAGTATAGATACTTTAACAACATTGTCTTCCAATCCAAGAACATAGGATATCTTTCCATTTATATGTGTTTTGTTTAATTATTTTCAGCAATGTTTCATGGTTTTCAGTGTAAAAGTCTTTTGCCTCCTCTGAGGTTGTTGTAAGTATTTTATTATTTTTGATGCTATCATGAATGATAATATTTTCTTAATTTCTAAATTTTCTTTTGAGTTAGTTCATTCTTGGCATATATAAATATAGCTGATTTTTATATAAAGATTTCGTATCTTGCAACTTTACTGAATTTGGTTATCAGTTGTAACAGGATTTTTTATTTTTTGTGACATCTTTTGTATGTATAACATCATGCCATCTATAAAAGGAGATAATTTTACTTCTTCCTTTCCTATTTGGATGCCATTTATTTATTTATTTATTGCCTAATTATTCTAGTTAGTACTTCCAGTACTGTGTTGAATAGAAGTGATGAGAGTGGGCATCCTTGCCTTGTTTGTAATAATAGAGGAAAAGCTATCAGTTTTCTACCACTGAGTGTGACGTTAGCTGTGTGCTTGTTATACAAAGCCTTTGTTATTTTGAGGTACATACTTTCTATACCTAATTTGTTTAAATATTTTATCATAAAAGGATAATAAATTTTGTCATAGCTTTTTCTACACCTATTGAGATGATCATGTCATTGTCATTCTTCATTTTGTTAATGTGTATAACATTCAAACATTTCATTTAACCTGTTTTTTTCTTCTTCTTCTTCTTTTAGTATTACAAGTGTGTTAGAGCATTTGATATTGTCCCACATATTTTGAATGTTGTACACTTTTTTTAACTCATTTTTTTCTGTTTTTGTATCAATATGGTTAGTTTTGTTGATGTCTTCACATTTACAAACTTTCTGCTCATCTGTGTTAAGCCAACTAATAATTTCAGGGAAAACATTCTTCATCTCTATTATTGTTTCATATTTCTAGTATTTCCTCTTAACATTTGCTTTTATTCTTTATAGCTCTGCTAAAATTATGTATCTGATATAGTATATTTTCCATTAGAACCATTAACATATTAACCATACTTACCTTCAATTCTCTGTCACAGATTTCAACATCTGTGCCATATGTGAGTCTGGTTCAGTTGATTGCTTTATCTTTTCACAATGTTGATTTTCCTGCCTTTATGTATGCTTGATAAATTTTTGTTGGAATCTGAATATCTTCTATCAGACAGTAGAGAGTTATTCAACTAATTTATGTGCTTGAAATGGACACTCCTTTCCTTCTGCTGTAATGGGATTTCAGTTAATCTACACAGCAGTCTAACTAGGTTTGAGTTTGTGGTTAATAAGGTTACTCTCAGTGCACCGTAGACTTCAAATGTCTATAGCAATACTCCATCCTAGTTTTCTTTGTTTATATTTCGTTTTTGAGACAGAGTCTCGCTCTTGTCACCCAGGTTGGAGTGCAATGGCACAGTCTTGGCTAACTGCAACCTCCACCTCCTGGGTTCAAGAGAGTCTCCTGCTACAGCCTCCTGAATAACTGGGACTCCAGGCGCCTGCCACCACACCCAGATAATTTTTGTATTTTTTGTAAAGATGGGATTTCACCATGTTGACCAGGCTGGTCTCAAACTCCTGAACTCAAGTGATCCACCAGCCTCAGACTACCAAAGTGCTGGGATTATAGACGTGAGCCACCATGCCCAGCCTCCATCCTATTTTTCTTGTGACTTCTTTTTTGAATCTGAGAGTTGTGCTGAATGTCTCTTCCACCCTCAGATTTAGGACTTTCCATTGAACCGAAGCACATAATCTGTTTCCAATTTTTTTCTGCTCTACTAGAGAGGAGGAAGATTCAACACTGAGACCATTTTATAGAAATCCAATATTCTATGCTAATGAAAATTAAGGAATAATATTTATTGTGCCAGATAATGTGCGTCCAAATCATTTGAGAAACTTGAACAGTTTCTTTCCCACCTAAGTCCATCCATATAAGGCAAGGCCCTTATGTATAAATTTATAATGTATAAACTTAGAATGTATAAAGTTATACATTTATACCCGTCTCCCAAGTGTCTGCACATAATTACAGAGTATAAGAAGAATGACTCAATTCCAGATTTGTTTTCTTCAAATGGGCATAATCTTCCCAATTTCCCATACACAATCCTGCTTTTGAAAGGTTTGGAAATGTGTTATAGTATATATGACTGCTAAGAGGATAGAAATTACTGCCTTTCATAGGCAGCTTAACTTGGATTCATAGGAAGAAGTATGTGTGTGTTGTGTGTATATGTGTGTAGGTATCTGTGTGTATATGAAATAAGATATAATCACTAATTTATTAATAAGTAAGAAGGTAATATTTTAAGTCTTAAATAAAAAATAAACAATTGTTTTATATTTAGAAATGTCTACGTTTGTAACATTGGTCGAAAACAAAAATTTTTCACAAACAAGTGATACTATAGTTCTACCCAGTGGCAAGTATGACCTGTGAGTGAATGAGAATCTGAAAGACAATATTTCAAAACACTTTTCTACATGTAAGACTAATTTTAAGACCAGGGTGCCACTGTTTTTCAAAAGAGAAGATAAATGTGCAAATATATATTAAGAAGATATGCACTTGAAAAACATCTATTTAATTTTTATAATGCAAAGAAACTATATTACACAACATAATGAGGAAGTATGCTTGTCTCTATTCTTCAGGCTTTGACTAAACTATTCTGCTAACAAGATACTGATATGTTGCATATTTAAGCATATAAAGAAAATGTTACATCTTTTGTCTTAATGCCATGTTATGTTGCTTTTTATCAGCGTTTATAAGATTTTAATAAGAAATCACTTTCCCATCAGCAGAGAAGATGGTTTATAAACTGGGATGAATTTAATTCGCATCAGTTGGTCATTGTGGCATAAAAATGTAGATTACTTATTTTGAAAGAATTTGTTTACAGTAAAAATTCATAACTACCTGCTTATAAAATTGTACCATTTGATTTAAATTTATTTTTCCCATATGTGGAAAAAAACTCCTCAAATTATATATTAATCATAAACCTAAAATATAGGCTTTGTAAACCTATATTTTAGGTTTATGATTTAAGGCTGTTTTGGAACTGCTGCTTTGATGTTTGGTTCTGTGTAATTTGTTTTGACAACTCTTTTAATGTTAAAAAACATGCACTTACATTGGCAATTTGAAAGATATTATGAAATCTTCTTATAAACAAAGAATCTTCCCCCAAAAATGTATGCGTGTGTTGTGTGTATATGTGTGTAGGTGTATGTGTGTATATGAAATGAGATACAATCAGTAATTTATTGATAAGTAAGAATATATTAACAGCCTTAAATAAAAAGAAACTTTTTTTTAATTGAGAAATGTCTATGTTTGCAACTTTAGTTGGAAATACAATTTTTAAGAAGCCAGTGATATTATAGTTCTACCCAATGGCAAATAAGCTGAGTGAATATTAACGATTAGTTTTCAATTTAATTTTTTCTGAAGATTAATTCCAATGCATGTAATTGTTTTTCAAGAAAATAGGCTTTATGTTGGTTCTTAGTAAGTATTATCTTTACATTTATGATTTAATGAAAAATAATGTAAGGAGAGATATTTAAGGCACATTTGGAAAATATTATTGATATAGAACATTAGTTTTATTTAATGATGGATATATGTCCCACATAATTTTGTGCTGTCTGGTTCTTAATTTCAGTAAATTTTAAATATACATATGGTTAACCCTGAAAAATGCTGAATATGTGTCTCAAATACATAGTTTCACAGTTTAATATGAATTGGAGAATAATCAGTTATGGTATAGAATTACATTTTTCTATTTTTAGGCAAGTTTTAAGAATTCAGCATAACATTAAAATATTTTGGCAAAATAACTTAAGATTTCAACAAATATCCATTTAACACAAATATTTTGGCATATAATCTTTAAATTTTGGAAGCATTAATACATAGGCACAGAGATTTAATCTTATTCTTTAAAAAATTAATGTTATTGATAAATATTAATATTTTATTATAAATTGTTTTATAATAAAATATTATAGTTTCATTATACCAATATAGCTGTATTATTTGTAATATAAATAATAATATAAATAATATTATAAGTGATATTAAGCATATTAATCTTAATCTTAGGAAGAGTTTAAAATCTCCTTACTCACTTTCCTTTTCTGTGTAATTCCATGACCATTGTATGACTAGAAAATAGATTTAACTACTGTTATCCAAATATTTACAAAAGATCATTACTATTTTCTCTTTTAATAAAATTATAAATAATTGTACTTATTTCTAAAAATACACTAAATTATGGTTTTAAATGTTATTGACAGCTTCATTTAAACAGATATAACTAAGTTTTATTGTCACGTGTTCTAGTTATTTTTACATATATCCATGTATTTCCAGATCAATAATTAATCCATTAAATTTATTCAATATTAGGTAATTGAGTAAGAAAATGTACTAGACATGGAGAATCAAAAACAAGTACTATTTAGTCATTGAAAAATAAATGCAAAAGGCAATATATTATAAAATTATATGTTTATTAGGACTAGAAAATAGTGTAGTGTATGGTAAAATGCTAAGAATTTTGATTGAGAATATAAGTTGAAATTTATTGCCTTAAGGACATGTCCTTCATTCTCTGGAGTAGACAATGGTTTCCTCTTGTAGGTTTGGAAGTTGATGTAGACAGAGCACATGGGGAATGATGAATATGAGTGTTAAGGAAAGAGACTGTTTTCTTTTGTTCTGCTTTCCTGCATTATTATAAATAGTATCTACGTTTGCTCTTAAAAAATATCTCAGTGTTAGCAATAACTTTCCTTAGCACTGAGTGACTTAAGGTAAAGAAAAGGAGTAAGGGTCTAAAATGAAGTTCAGATACAACATGTGAGACTGAACTCAAGCAGAGACATGACGGAGGAAAATGGGTATCTGTTTCACGCAAATCTTTACACTTTTGCTTCATTCAGTGCCCTTTGCAAAATGTTGTATAATGGGTTCGTAAAAAAATAAATGACATAGGCAGATATTTCAAAATGGATGCACTTATATTGCCAATGTGAAAGATATGAATTAGTAAGCATAAAAGAGTTCATGAATTAGTATTAGATACGTGTTAGATATTACTAATTATATAACTAATAAATCAGTTAATGAAATAAGTAGATATAGTGCACCAGTTATGGCAAAATTTTCCACATTTATATTTCTATTTCAGCTCTTGTTATCTCTAATTATACATACAACTACCTATTTCACAGCTACACTCAAATATCTCACAAACACCTCACATTTACTATGTATGAACTGAATTTTTTATCTACTTCCCCCAAATTGTTTATCCTCCAGCTCTCCCTATCTCAGCAATAAAAATGATTTAAAGCCATCCTTTAAACAAAGTGAATAATTATTAACAAGGCACATGAAGATCCATAAAGGCATGGACAGGATTTGGCATAGAGCATGTGGTAACAAATATTGTTGAATCAGCAAACGAATACAGTTAACAGATAGACTAATCAAAATATATTTGCATATCTTAACTGAAAATATAAAATTTTCTTTGAATGTATATCTCTCTTTAGCTAATGACCCCTTTTAAAGCAAATATTTGTATTTCTAGTTATTTGCTTCATGATATCTTCCTAACCTATGCTATTCTGTTTCAGCACTACACTAAAATGGCCATTATCTGTTTGGCATTAACAACTGCATTACAAAACACTGTGATCACTTTTGATTTCTTACATTAGCTTTATTGACATTCAGCAGAATATTTATTTAATATTATCCTCAAATGTATGAGAGAAGAAAGCAAGACATTAATTATCCAGTGTCATTTTGTACATGGCTTTATGGACCTTGCTAAGAACTTTAGACATTATCCCAAGATTACAAAAAAATTCACAAATATTACAGTTTGGTCTCAAATTGTACACGAGCATTTCTTCTATAGATTGTCACTTCTAAAAAAGATAACCTGAAAGTTGATGATTTAGACAAAAGTAGATAGTATTCACACAACTATAATATAATGGACCTCACTGTTATCCCCATTATTATTATTATTTTTTTAAGGTTCAAAGTGTTTTTTTTTTTGTTTTTTTTAATTATTATTATACTTTAAGTTTTAGGGTACATGTGCACATTGTGCAGGTTAGTTACATATGTACACATGTGCCATGCTGGTGTGCTGCACCCACCAACTCGTCATCTAGCATTAGGTATATCTCCCAATGCTATCCCTCCCCCCTCCCACCATCCCACCACAGTCCCCAGAGTGTGATGTTCCCCTTCCTGTGTCCATGTGTTCTCATTGTTCAATTCCCACCTACGAGTGAGAATATGCGATGTTTGGTTTTTTGTTCTTGCGATAGTTTACTGAGAATGATGTTTTCCAATTTCATCCATGTCCCTACAAAGGACATGAACTCACCCTTTTTTATGGCTGCATAGTATTCCATGGTGTATATGTGCCACATTTTCTTAATCCATTCTATCATTGTTGGGCATTTGGGTTGGTTCCAAGTCTTTGCTGTTGTGAATAATGCTGCAATAAACATACGTGTGCATGTGTCTTTATAGCAGCATGATTTATAGTCCTTTGGGTATATACCCAGTAATGGGATGGCTGGGTCAAATGGTATTTCCAGTTCTAGATCCCTGAGGAATTGCCACACTGACTTCCACAATGGTTGAACTAGTTTACAGTCCCACCAACAGTGTCAAAGTGTTCCTATTTCTCCACATCCTCTCCAGCACCTGTTGTTTCCTGACTTTTTAATGATTGCCATTCTAACTGGTGTGAGATGGTATCTCATTGTGGTTTTGATTTGCATTTCTCTGATGGCCAATGATGATGAGCATTTTTTCATGTGTTTTTTGGCTGCATAAATGTCTTCTTTTGAGAAGTGTCTGTTCATGTCCTTTGCCCACTTTTTGATGGGGTTGTTTTTTTCTTGTAAATTTGTTTGCGTTCATTGTAGGTTCTGGATATTAGCCCTTTGTCAAATGAGTAGGTTGCGAAAATTTTCTCCCATTTTGTAGAAAAACAAGCAATGGGGAAAGGATTCCCTATTTAATAAATGGTGCTGGGAAAACTGGCTAGCCATATGTAGAAAGCTGAAACTGGATCCCTTCCTTACACTTTATACAAAAATCAATTCAAGATGGATTAAAGACTTAAACGTTAGACCTAAAACCATAAAAACCCTAGAAGAAAACCTAGGTATTACCATTCAGGACATAGGCATGGGCAAGGACTTCATGTCTAAAACACCAAAAGCAATGGCAACAAAAGACAAAATTGACAAATGGGATCTAATTAAACTAAAGAGCTTCTGCACAGCAAAAGAAACTACCATCAGAATGAACAGGCAACCTACAAAATGTTATCCCCATTATTAAAGTTCTGCTTTTTCTATGACTGAAATGAACATGTGATTCTCTCTTAAGAAAATAAAGAAAAGACACTATGGAAACAGCTAAATGTAAATTCTTTAACAACAATTTGAAAAGTTATAAAACATACTTGATATGCAAATTTATGTATTGTTTTCACCAGGGCTTTACTATATTCAATCACAGCTAAAAAGCAAACATCTAATTAGAATGCTCCTTTCGGAATACTCTTTTTAGAATGCTACTTTTGGACTTGTTATCTCGAATTATGCATTCACTATGGTGTGGAGAGGCTGCATGTGACCTGGGTCTTCTTACAGATGTTTTCACCTGCGACTTGATATCTCATCTCCAAAATATATTTAATACTAATATGTACTTGATAGCCATTGCTATGATTTAAGTGAGCTAATATTTTAAACTATTTATAATTAATGGTAAAGTTGTGTATGTTTCAGTGTGCAGACATACGTAAGCCAAAGACTTTTTTCCTTAGCCATGTTTATAGTAACAGATAACCAACAAGTGTGGCACATACATATTCTCTAATTTTTTTCAGATGCTAGAAATAGTAAGGATATTCTTTTTATGACCTGTGTAGAAATGGAACAATAATAATGTGAACCAAATGGCACTTTAAGAGCTTTGAGAGACGCATGTCATCATAGGACAAAATGAAAATTCAACCTATTTATTCATGTGTCATGAGGTACATAGAAAATTTAAACACACAAAGTCTAAATTTGTTAGTCCCGGGTAACAAAATTATATTTATCCCATTTGGTTAACAGTCTATCTTCAAATTTATCAGATCTTTTGATTCCTAGTCAGCTAGCTTAATTCAGGCCTCCATTACATCTCTCTTTGATCTTTGTTAAAATTTACATTTTCGTCTTGGCCTTGACTCATTGTATTCTCTTAAATATTCTTTTTCTAGTGCCATTTCCTTTTCTGGAAAATATAGCACATCGTTCGTTTCTGTTACACTGACATAATTTGAAAGAACATTTGTAGAGAGATGTTTTTGGCAGATTATAGGGAAAGTAATGTCTATTTCCCAGAGGTTCGCTAAAAGCTCTATGACTCTAATCATATAGAAGCAATAAGAAGTTCAAACTTACAATTCTTCAGAAAAAAAATGCTTAGTTTTATCACAGAGCTATAAAATTTTGCTTAATGCTGTGTTTTTGTTTTGTTTCGTTTTGTTTTGTTTTGTTTTCTCAGTGCATCTCCTCTGATCTAGATTAGTGTATGGATAACTCCTTCTTTCTTTATGGTGTCCTGAGAGAAATATCTTTCCCCAAATAACTGTCACAATCTCTTTACATAATGAGCCAATTACTTAAAAATGGTAAAATTTTAGTCGAGTTGTATTTAGAAGCTACTAATAGATATTCGCAAGATCATGAAAAACCTTAAATTAGCATTGCAAGACCCATATTTTAAAATTACAGGATCTATTTTAGACATTTCTCTAAACATTTAGTATTATCTCATAACATAATTGTTACAGTTGTTTGTAGACTTTGTTCTTCACTTTGAGAGACATCATGACTTTTACCAGATCTTTTTAATGGATAAAAAAAGAGATTTATAGAAGAATAATAAAAATATATTTAAAATATTTACAATATTTAATTATGTGCTTTGAGTTGTTGTTAAGCCATAATGAAGCCATAGAACTATAATCAAGAAAATAAAAATATTCATCCTACCTATAGGTTTCCTTTGTTATCTCGTCAAACCACCACTCTCTACCATGCTTCATAATCCCTACTCTACACACCAGAGGCAACTATCTGTTTTCCTTAATTTGCATATTTTAGAAATGTGTATTCATGGAATCACTCAATGTGTATTATATTTTTATTTGGTCTTTTTCAATTAGCATAATTATTTTAAATTTAACCCATTTTGTATTGTGTATTAATGTGCATTTCTTTTTAATGTTAAGTAGTATTTTACTGCATGGATACACTACAGGTTGTGTATCTACTCAGGTGTTGATGGACTTTGAGTTGTTTTCAGTTTTATACCTGGTTAGATTTTGCTTGCTAAATATTATTTTAGAATAGTTACATTTATATTCATGAGAAATATTCGTCTGAAGTTTTCTTTTTATGTTATATTTTTCTTTATTTTCAGTATTGGGATTGTATTGGCCTCCTAGAATAAACTGGAAATTATTCTATGCTTGTTAATTTTATGAAAGGTTTTAGATAAAATTCCTCTTATTTATTTTTTAAATTTTTAGTAGAATTCAGCATTGAGTCTTCTGAAAATGGAGTTTTTATTATGGCAAAGTTTTAACTAAAAATCCAACAATTTTAACAGCTAATGGGTTAGTAACGGTATCTGTTTCCTCAGGTGGAATGAGCTTCAATAGTATGTTTGTTTCAACAAACATGTTCATTTAATCAATGGTGGATAATTCATTGACAGCAAGTGCAATTTTGACATGTTTATGCATTAAATTATATACAGGAAATGTAGAAATGTTATCTCATGTTTGATTGCATATGTCTGTTCTTACACTGCTAATAAATACACACACAAGACTGGGTAATTTATAAAAGAAAGAGGTTTCATTGACTCACAGTTCAGCATGGCTGGGGAGGCCTCAGGAAAATTACAATCATGGAAAAAGGGGAAGCAAACACATCCTTCTTCACATGGCCACAGCAAGGAGAAGTGCAGAGTGAAGTGGGGGTGGGGGCAGGAAGTATTAGATCTCATGAGAACCCACTATCATGAGAACAGCATGGAGGTCCCTCCCATGACACATAAGACTTAGGAGAAAAACAATTCAGGATGGGATTTGAGTGGGGACACAGCCAAACCATATCATTGATATAGATGATTTTTGTTTTCTCACTTTTTTCTGATGACTATCACCAGAGGTTCATCAATTGTATTGATTTACAGACTGTGGTTTTTATTTAACTTATTTCCTCTATTATTTTTATATTTTCAATTTCATTGAATTTCTCTCTGATATTTACTATTTCCTGTCTTCTTCTAACATTGTTTTTAATTTATTATTTTTTCTTTTTAAATTTTACTTTTCTTGATAGATAATAGATGCACATATTTTTGGGAAACATGATAGTTAAATACATTCATATACTTTGTGAAGGCCAAATATGTTTAATAGGTATGGATATTAAATGTTTGTCCTTAAGTTACAGACATTCAAATTATTCTCATCCAGCTATTTTGAAATATAAAATAGATTATTATAAACTATAGTGAACCTACTGATCTATCAAACACTAAGTCTTCTTTCTTTTATAAAATGGTATAATAGTACACATTAATCAATCTCTCTCATCCCCCCTCCACCCTACTCTTCCTAGCCTCTGGTAACCAATCATTTACTCACTATTTTCATGAGATCCACTTTTTTAGCTCCCATATGTGGGTGACAATATGTGATATATATCTTTCTTTGCCTGGCTTTTTTCACTTGATGTAATAACCTCCAGTTCTATCCATGTCGTGACGAATGACAACATTTTATTCTTGTGTATAGATAAATAATATTTCACTGTGTGTTGATGAAGTTTTTTCATCTTTTATTGGGCACTTAGATTCCATATTTTGGCTATTGTGAATAGCCAAAAATGTTCAATAAACATGGGTTTGCAGATGTGTCTTTGGTACATTAATTTTCCCTAGATTGAGCATATTCCCAGTAATAAAATTCCTGGGTTACATGGCTTTTCTATTTTTATTTCTTTGAGAAACCCCCATACAGTTTTACATTCTTGCTGTACTAATTTATATTCCCACCAATGGTGTAGGAGAATTCACCTTTTCCACATCCCACCCAGCATCAATTCCCTGTCTTTTATAAAGAAGCCATCTTACCTGAGTGATATGATATTTCATTGTGGTTTTGATTTCCATTTATCTGAATATTAATAATGTGTAACATTTTTTGTGTACTTGTAGGTCATTTGTATGCCTCCTTTGAGAAATGTGTATTCAATCTTTTGCCCATTTTAAAATCAGAATATTTTTCTATTAATTTATTTGAGCTTCTTATATTCTGGGTATTAATAACTTGTCAGACATAGTTTGCAAATACTTTCTGTCATTCTGTGTGTTGTCTCTAGACTTTGTTGATTGTTTTCTTAGCTTTTCAGAAGCTTTTTAGTTTAATATAGTCCAATTTGTCTATTTTTGTTTGTGTTGCCTATGCTTTTGTGGTCTTACCTATAAAATAGTGACCTAGAACAATGTTCTGAAGTGTTTTCTCTACATTTTCTTCTAGAAATTTTATAGGTTTGGATCCTACATATTGGTCCTTATTTTGAATTGATATTTTACTATGGTGAAGGAGGTCTAGTTTCATTTTTTTTTTCTGCATATGGTTATCCAGTTTTACCAGCACTACTTATTGAAGAGACTGTCCTTTACTCGTTGTACATTCTTGGCACCATTGTAAAAAAAAATTGGCTGTGTAAATGTATAGATTTATATGTAGGTTATGTATTCTGTTTCATTTGTCTGCTCCCTTTTTTGTTTGTTTGTTTGCTTGCTTTTGCCAATACCATGTTAATTTGGTTACCATAGCTTTGTAATATATTTTGAAGTTTGGTAGTGTGATGCCTCTAGCTTTGTTGGGTTTTTTTTCCACCCCTCAGGATTGCTTAGGCTATTTAGTCATTTGTGTTTCCATATAAGCTGAATATTTTTTCAATCTCTGTGAATAATATCATTGATATTTTGATAGCAATTTCATTGAATCTGAAAAATGATGTGGGTAGTAATGCCATTTCAACAATATTAAATGTTGCAATCCATGAAGAATGGAATATCTTTCCATTTTTAGGTGTCCTCAATTTGTTTCATCAATGTTTTATAGGTTTCTTTATATAGATTTTTAACTTCTTTGATTAAATTGATTCCAAGGTATTTTATATTTTATTGTAGCTATTGTAAATAGGATTGCTTTCTTGATTTATTTTTCAGATTATTCTCTCTTGGCATTTATAAATGCTCATGATCCTTGTATGTTGATTTTGTGTCCTACAACTCTATGGAATTTATCAGTGCTAACACATTTTTGGTGGTCTTAATTTTTTCTAAGCATAAGATCATGTCATCTGTGAACAAGGCAAATTTGACTTCCTCCTTTCCAAATGGGATGGCTTTTAATATTTTATTTTTTTGAATAAGGTTTCTCCTTTCTCTATACTAATTATCTCTTGGACACTGATAATTCTTAGATTTGGTCTGTTGAGGTAATTTTCTATATCTTTTCAGCAAATCTTCATTTCTTTCATTTTTTTTCTTTTTTCTCCTTTAACTGTGTATTTTCTAATAGCCTATCTTCTAGATCACTGGTTCTTTCATCTGCTTGATTCCTTCTGCTGGTGATTGCCTCTAATAAACTTTACAGTTTAGCCAATGTATTTCTTAGTTCCCAAGATATCTGATTCATTTTTACAAATTATTTTAATGTCTTTGTAAATCTTCTCTGATAAACTTCTGAATTGCTTTTCTGTATTATATTATCAATCACTAATTTTTTTTTTCTTATCCAGTGGCACTGGCCAGGGATTTCATTATTATGTTGACTAAAAGTGGTGAAAGTGGGCATCTTTGTTTTTCATTATCACAGGAAAAGATGTCTATTTGATAAAAATACCTTTAAGTTTCCTAAAAATTTCTATTCTAAATTCTCCATCAGATGATTTACATATAATTCTTTCATTAAGATTGGTCAATGGTTTCTTGCTTTGTCTATTTAGAGACTTCATAGCTCTCTATTTGCTCTTGTTTCTTGTAGATGTATTTATGTCTTTGTATTGAAGAATTAGTTATTTCAGTATTTTCTGTGTTAAAAGAAAAACGTTAGCTGAATTAAATTTAAAGGAGTTTATTTGAGCAATGTAAGATTCAATAACTTGGAAGTCCCCAGAATCACAGCAGATTCAGAGAGACTCCAGGGATGCCTAGTGGTCAGAACAAATTTACAGACAAAAAGAGGGACGTGATGTACAGAAATAAGAGATGAGGTACAGAAACAGCTGGATTGGTTACAGGTTGGCATTTACCTTATTTGAACACAGTTTGAACACTCAGCAGTGTATGACTGGTTGAAGTATGGCTTCTGGGATTGGCTAAGTCTCAGCTATTGTTACAGGCACATACTCCTAAGTTAGGGTTTCAAACTTGTCTATCTATTAAGTTTGGCTTCAGTTCATCTACAAGGACTCAAATGTAAAAGTACAGAGTCCTTCTCAAGCCATATTTAGTTTGCTTTAACATTTCCCCCTTTTTGGTCATTTTCTGAATTTTGCCAGATTGACCATAACTTTAGTCGTTGATGTCATGATCATCATTGTAAATGTACTTATTTGGTCTTGAAACCCACTGGGAAACAGTAGAACGGTGAGTTTTACAAAGGTAGGAACAAGGACAGAGTAGAGGGTACCTCTTTATGCTGGAACATCCTGTTTATAAAAGAAAAACAAAACATAATCTATTCTAGTCTAGGACCTATGTGTTTCCTTAAAGTCTTAGTTTGATTATGTCACATTTAGAATGAGCATCTCCATTTTTGTTTGGTTTGTTTGTTGGGGCCTAGTACATGAGCTCACTCCACAAAAATGGCCTCCTATAATTTTGTTTACAAATTCCCCCTTTTTGGTCAGGTTCTTATTTAGGTGAGAGTGATCAAAACTTACGGCCTTCTCACCACTCTCAGTTACCATCATTTTGTGTTTCCAGTCTCAGCATGCCATTCATAGGTTATGGTGTCCTCATGGTCTCACATTTCCTTCAGCTCTTGTCATTCCAGTTGGATAGAGACCAGTTGACATTCTAGAGATGGCTGCATGCAAATATTTAAAACCTTTGAGATAATACAGCATACCAGGAAGACTATTATTATCACTATCAGGAAGAGAATATGAAGAGTTCGGAGCATGCTCCTTACCCAAGGTCTCCACAAACCAAACCACTTAAAATCAAATACATCAAAGAATGAGTTAGATGAAGAGTGCACTTGCTTAACTAAGTGGTCTTTTCATTAATACCCTACAACTGAATTTTTATAATCTACATTTGATGTATTTTTCCATAGGCCACAAGTACCAGCAGCTGCACAGATATTTTTCTGTTTAGCCAATTGTAATATTTAACCTAACTTTCACAAGATAATTTAAAATCCATTTTATGACTATAGCCTTTACAGTAGAATCTGCTATAGGGCCTATGATGAGGGATACATTTCTAATTATTGCCTCCTTTATTCCAATCCATGGAAAAAGGACCTAACGAATGATGCCCTTCTAGAATAGTGAAGGCTTCCTGGCAATGTTCTCTTTAACCCATGATGTGGGTTAAGAGGAGTGAATCAGTGTTCTGTTTCTGATGGATTATGAGCAACATATGTACCATTAAATTTTCTCACATACATTGGGACTTCATCTTGTATCGTTCGAAGTGTAAGTTCTTCCATGTAAAATGCTGGCTTCAAAATCCTTCACAAATAGAAGTATACTCCATAAGTGCACACATCAGACCCTCTTTTATTTCTATTGTTCATAGAGACAGACACAAGGAAAATACATTCAAAGATAAGATTCAGATGACAGTAGAAGTCTTGATCAAGTCTTAGGAAAAGTTGTTCACATACAGGATACCATTATCGTTGGAGAGACTTCCTTAGTTGGCTTTTCTTTTAGGATTCCACTATATGCACAGCTCCAAGAGTGTGGAGAGACCCCTCTCAGTTATGAGATTATGAACCCAAGGTTCAAGATCCTGAAGTTTTGTTGCACTGTGGATGGCAAAGACAGTCTTTCTCTGATGTTCTCAGAAGATCCAATCTTTGGGTTCTAGATTGTGAGGGGATTGAATATTTTCAGTGAACCATAAAAACCTTTCTTTACCTGGTGAAAATACACTGTAACACGATAATCTACCGTTACAACATCAGCCCTCTTGCATGAGAGAGCTTTTGTAGAATCAGAAAACATGCATTGAAAATGACAATTGAATGAAATCCCTTTGTAAATGTTTAAATGGCCCATCACATAGCCAAATGTACCTGAAACTGTTTCCCCAGGAATATGGATTTAACAAACCAAACATTAGTTATAAACTATTTCAGCAATTTATAAGTCACCACACAAATATGTATTTAATGTGGATCATTTTATCTTTTCCATGATAAGTCGTGGAATGCAGAATCTTTAGTAACAGAAGCTTTAAGGACTCAAGAAAGACAAGGTGGCTGTCCTGGTTCTCCATGAGTCCATGTTTGATGTTGGACTTATGCCCTCTTGCATACCAGTTGTTTCTCCATTTTAGGTGCATAGCACTGATAACATGGGTTATCATAGGTAATTTGACATATACTATGGAGTTCATTCAAATTGTACATCTAAACAATTTCAATATCAGCTGATTTAACATGAAAATCTGGAAAAGTGTTTTCTTGGTATTTAATTTTTGTTCTCCTTGGGTTAGTAGTTTTATAAACCAGTCAGTCTTTTCCTTGAAGTTCCAGTTCAAAGGATATGATTTTAAAATTATTAGAAACCTGTATTCAAGATAGATTTTTAGAGTCCTTTCCATCCTTTCCTGAATCTCCTAAAAGACAACATATTCTAGGATTCTGAGTGCTTGTGAAGCTTTCAGAAACTGCATCAGCATTAAGCAATTAACTATGGGAATGACTTTAAATAGTCATAAAGACACAATTGGCAAGGAAACTTGTTTATTTCTGTGGTCTCTAATAACACAATAACCATAATTATGATTGATAGAATATACTCAGACATATTAGAATTTTAGAAAATCCATACAATTTTGGAACATATATTAATATAATTCACTAAAATATAACCTGAAAAAGATTAACCTTTTTTTTTAAAATTTTTACAATGTTTCCCATGTAACTAAACATGTCAAATAATCCTGTTTACCTCTGTTTTGAATGCTTCAGGGGCCTTCTGTGGCATCTCAAAGTTGGAGGTCAGAAAAGACAATTTTGAAGCTGAAATTTATCTGGGGACGCCTATCAAATACCTTAAAGGTTTAAAACACTTGATATTATGCATAACCAGTCTGACCATGAGGTGAGGTTCTTATAAACCTTTTACAATTTTTGTGAATAAGCAGATTAGAGTTTTAAGAAAACCCTGTTGTGCTTTTTATTTCAATGTTTAATTTACAAAATAACAAACAATACTCCTTTAAATTTAGTCTGTATGTTGACACACAGAATTTCATTTACCAGATTAATTTTTACAAACCTTCCACAACTTGCTCAAACATTTAGCTTTATCTTATCTAATGTAAAAATCCTTTAACCCCTTAGGCAAAAATTTACCTTCCCATGCCTTCTTATAATCTTTTACCAAAAGCACCATTTCACTCTCTTCATACACCTTGCATGTAAAACTTTTTTTAGCAGTTCCAATTACCTGTTATAATCCCACTTCTGATACCATCTGTTAAAATAAAAACTTTAACCAAATTAACTTTGAAGAAGTTTAATTTAGCAATGAATGATTCAAGAATCATGCAGCCCCCAGAATCACAGCAGATTCAGAGAGATTCCAGGGGCACCTCATCGTCAGAATAAATTTACAGACAAAAAAAGGGAAACGACGTACGGAAATTGGAGGTGACGTACAGAAAGAGCTGAATTGGTTTCAGGTTCACATTTACCATATTTGAACACAGTTTGAACACTCAACATTGTATTACTTAAGTACAGCTTACCTATTAAGTTAGGTTGCAGTTTGTCTACAAGGACTCAAATATAGAAGAACCGAGTCCTTCTCGTACCTTATTTAGTTTCCTTTAACACCTGTCTTGTTCCATTTTTTTAATTGGATGTATTTGCCTAGAGATTGTTTAACATTTTCCTTATGATTTTCCATCTTTTTCCGTCATTAGGTCACTCCTTCCTTTTCAGCACTGGATGACACAATAAGCCCCAGTTTGCCTAGGTTCTAGGAAACAATCAGAGGGCCACTTGTCCTGAATGGAAGATGTACCAAAGGGAATATCTTGGTAGTATGAGAAGGCTGTCTAGGGGTTCATGTTCAGGAAACCTGTGAAACAAACCTCCTTTAGCATGATGCTATGGAACCGCCACTTCAATTTGATGTCTCCTTTGGCTAAATCACAGAGCAGAGTTTCCAGGTCTGGGGCTAGTCGTCTCCCCTTGCTTCCTTTGTTTCTGGCTGTCCTTGGGGATATTCCTTTCTTCAGATACCCGCAATGCTTTCTGTGGGTTGAGGTAGAGATAGGTGTCCTGCCAGGCAACCCAAGATGATGGGGAAACTATTTGTCCAACTTAATATTACCTTTTTAAGTTAGAAACTGTGAGTCAGAGGAAAACTTTCTGCGCTCTTGGTGATGGGTAAACTTGGAAGAGAGGCGTCATGGATATGGTAGTCCAACTCTCTTAGCATCTTTTAGGTTTTTTATTTCTCTGTACCATAGGAATTGTCTCCTCATATTTGAGTATTTAACTTCTAGGATATTGCTAGTGATAATGTCTACATTGCACATTTGATTTCGGTTTTCTGTGGGAAGGAGTGAGACACTTTGCCTCTATATTACAATTTCAGAACAAGTAGTCCTCTTTATTACATATTCCTTTTCAATATGGTGAGCAAGTAGCACTTTTATTGTATATATTTATAAGGTACAGTGTGATTTTTGACATATAAATGCCTTGAATAATAAATAAATCAAGCTAACACAGAAGTTTAATATTATGAATTCTTCCCCTAATTACTGCTCTAATAGAATCCATAAAAGTTTACAAAATTGAATTTTTATTCAGTTCAAAATACTCTCTAATTGATTTTGGAGTTTTCTTTTTGAACACTGTGTTATTTTGCAATGTGGATTTAGTTTTCAACTATTTCTGTAGTTCATGGAGATATTTCTGTTATTTATTCCAAGTTTAATTTCATCATTGTGAGAAAATAGTTTGGACAATTTGTTATTTTAAACATATAAAGACTTATTTTATAGTTTACAATATGATCCATCCCTATAATTATATTGAGTACACTTGAAAACAATATGAACTCTTGGCTTTGCATAGTATCTTCTGCAATTATCAGTTAGGTCAAGTTGTTCAAATTTTTGATATGCTTACTGATTTTCTTTTCATTTATATAAATTTAAGGGCTACGAGTGCAGTTTTGTTACAAGGATATATTGCATATTGGTAAACTCTGGGCTTTTATTGTAAGCATCACCCGAACAGTGTATCTTGTACCTATTAAGTAATTTCTCATCCCTCACTCTCCTCCTAGATTCCTACCCTTAAAAGTTTCCACCCTCTATGTCCATTGTACACCTTATTTTGCTATTCTATCAGTCTCCATTTCTTTTAATTTTAAACTCTGTCATTGGTTGTATAAAACTTAAGCATTTCATATGTCTGTTCAATAAATTGACTACTTTATCAATCATAAAATGATCTTATTTAATTTAATTTCCTTTGATCTGAAATCTACCTATGGTGGCACTAATGTAATAACTCCAGATTTCTTTATAAAGTATTACTTAAAAATAAATTTTATTGTGTATAAAGTATATAAGATACTATGATATTCAAATAGTGAAAAATTACTATAGTGAAGCGAGTTAACATATACAACATTGCACTTTGTTCTACATATTTTTGTAAGTGTGTGCGGCAAGAGTAGCTATAATCTATTCAGTTAGTCAAAATCCCAAATATATTACATTATTATTAACTATAGCCCTCATATTGTAGCTTAGATCTCTAGACTTGTTTATCCGACATATCTACTGTTTTATATTCTTTGACTTACATTTCTCATTTCTTGCCACTACCCTACCATGACCATGGTAATTGCTGTTTTATTTTCTCTTTATATATCACTTTTTTAAAAAATGCACTATTTTTCTTCCTGTGTCTGGCTGATTTCATTTAGCATAATGTCTTCCTGGTTTATTCATGGCATGTCAAATGGCAGAATTTCCTCTTTTTATAAGAATAGTGTGATGGTTAATATTAGGTGTCAACTTGATTGTATTGAAGGATGTTGGGGTGATTGGACCCAACACCAGGTCATGGGGGTGACGAAGTCCAGTGGAGTCAAAGGAATGAGAAAAGACAGTTTGAGAGAGAAAGTGGGAACAGGGGACCATTGCTAAGTATGGAGGCTGCAAAGGCCACGAGCTCTGGAAGCCCAGACTATTTATTGGTGATCAAACAAAGAAACAGGTGGTGAGAATGTGGGGGGCGAAAGGGCGTGTTGCATTAAGCACATGATTTACAGCTGTAATGGTTTAGCATATGCTCTGCTACATGAGATGATGGAGAGCAGGTTCTTCTAACTCAGGATACAATCAGTTCTGGGAGACCAAGGAGCAAGGAGCCAGCAAGTCTATTCCAGAATCACGAGCCCTGGATTCTATCCAAGCCACGAGGGGTTTTATGCCCTGGGCTTATATTATGGTGTGTCAGGGTAGTCTTCCATGCTTTAGCACAGAGCTTGGTGTTCCAAAGGCCATGAGGGGTTTTAGACTCTGGACCCCGGACATGTTCCAAGACTCTTTTATATTATGTCAGACATACAAGACCCACCTCAGCCTCTCTCCCAACACTCAGCTTTTCTCCCAACAAACGATGCCTAGGTAGCTGATTAAAGTATTGTTTCTGAGTGTGTCTGTGAGGTTGTTGCCAGAAGAGATTAGCATTTGAGTCAGTGGACTCGGAGAGGTAGACCCACCCTCATTGTGGGTGGGCACCATCCAGTCGATTGCCAGTGGTAGAACAAAACGAGTGGAAGAAGGTAGGAGTTAAGCTGGCTTGCCGAGTCTTCTGGTTTTTATCTTTCCCTGTGCTGGATGCTTCCTTCCGTTCTTCCTGCCCTTGGACATCAAACTCCGGGTTCTTCGGCCTTTGGACTCTTGGACTTACACCAGTGGTTTGCTGGGGTGGGGTTGGGGGGTCTCGCACTTCAGCCACAGACTGAAGGCTGCACTGTCGACTTCCCTACTTTTGAGACTTTTGGATTCAGACTGAGCCACTTCTGGCTTCTTTCTCCCTCAGCTTGCAGATGGACTGTCTATGATGGAACTTCACCTTGTGATCATGTGAGCCAATTCTTTCTAATAAACTCCCTTTCATATATACATATATCCTATTCTGTCCCTCTGGAGAACCCTAACTAATACAGATGGATTATATAGACATGTTATATATTTACATAGTTACATATATATGATTAATATAATATTTTTTAATGTTCTAACTTCATTTCTTGTTTATTTAGTCATAACTTTTGTTATTCAAGTGCTTGTTATAATGTTTACAGTACACACTTCATTGTTTTAAATATTTCAGCACAAGAGATGCATGAAAATGCTTGATAATAGCTGTAATTCAAACACTATATTATAAGTTACTATTATAGTATAATTTTGACATAAAATTGTTTTTTTCTTGTCTCACATGTGCATGCGTATGTGTGTGTTTGTGTGTGTCTGTGCATATTTCAGTTTCACCATTTCTTCATCTATCAGTGGACACTTAGGTTGTTGTGATGTTTTGGCTATTGTGAATAAGACTGTTGAGAACATCAGAAGGCAGAATTATTTACAAGGCAATACTTTTATTTCTTTTGGATATATACCCAGAAGGATTGCTGGATTTTATGGTATTTCTATTTTTAAACTTTAAAAGACCTTCCTTTCCATACTGTCTTGATAATGGCTGCACCAACTTAGACTCCCATCAGCACTGTACAAGACTTCCCTTTTCTCCACACCTTTGCCAACCCTTTTTAACTCTTGTTTTTCTGATAATAGCTATTTTAATGGATGTGAAGCAGTTTTACATAGTACTTTTGATTTTCATTTCACTGATGATTAGTGATATTGTGTATCTTTTCATATGTACCTGTTGGCGATTTTTAGGTCCTCTTTGGAAATAAAACTATTTATGTGCCTTTGCTCATTTTTTGCTTTTGGGTCATATGAGTTCTTTATAAATTCTGGATAGTAACTCCTTATCATAGATATGATTTGTACATTTTTCTTCAAATCTACTGATCACTTTTTCATTTAGTTGACTGTTTGCTTTGCATTTTGTAGGTTTGTTTTTGTAGACTAACATAGTCCCACTTGCTTATTTTTGTATTTGTAGCCTGAGTTTTGATACAATATTCAAAACATTATTGCTAAGACCAATGTCAAAAACCTTTTCTTCTATGATTTTTTCTAAGATTTTTATGGTTTCACATCTTAGGTTTAGATATTGAATTCATTTTGAGTTTATTTTTGAGTATGGTGTAAGATAGTAAAATAAGGATCTAATTTTATTTTTTTAAATGTGAATATGCATTTTTCTCAATACAATTTATTGAAGATCCTAAGCTTTCCCTATTATGTCTTCATGATGCCTTCATGGAAAATTTTTTGAACACATATATGTTTGAATTTATTTATGGGCTTTCTTCTCTATTCCACTGGGTCCAGATTTCTCTTCATTTGTTTTATCACAACATATGTGTTTCCATTCTTCTACTTTCTATCTTTACACTTAAAGTGTTTGGTTTTGGCAGCATATAATTTAGTCTTGCTATTTAAATCTATTTTGAAAATGTATGCTTTTCAATTCTGGAATTAATGATATTTACATTAATGTGGGTTCTGTACGGTTAGATATGAATTTATCATCATGTTTTTGTTTGCCAATTCCTTATTTTTTTAAATCCACTTCTGCTTTTTAGCATTAGTTGAATATGCTTTTAATGTTCAAATTTTTCTTGTTCACTTCAACATAACTTTTGTTGCTTGAGTGTTTGCTATAAAGTTTACACTATAGATCTTATTGTTTCATATTTTTACTGCACAAGAAATGCATAAACAAGCATACTGTTACTTGTAATTCAAAAGCATTGTCTTTTAAATGACTAGATCCCACAGAAATACAAACTACTGTCAGAGAATAATATAAACACCTCTATGCAAATAAACTAGAACATCTAAAAGAAATGGATAAATTCCTCAACACATAAACCCTCCCAAGACTAAACCAGGAAGAGGTTGAATCCCTGAATAGACCAATAACAGGCTCTGAAATTGAGGCAATAATTAATAGCTTACCAACCAAAAAACGTCCAGGACCAGACGGATTCCCAGCTGAATTCTACCAGAGGTACAAGGAGGAGCTGGTACCATTCCTTCTGAAACTATTCCAATCAATAGAAAAAGAGGAAATCCTCCTTAACTCGTTTTATGAGGCCAGCATCATCCTGATATCAAAGCCTCGCAGAGACACAACAAAAAAAGAGAATATTAGACCAATATCCTTGCTGAACATCGATGCAAAAATCCTCAATAAAATACTGGCAAACCAAATCCAGCAGCACATCAAAAAGCTTATCCACCATGATCAAGTGGGCCTCATCCCTGGGATGCAAGGCTGGCTCAACATATGCAAATCAATAAACGTAATCCAGCATATAAACAGAACCAAAGACAAAAACCACATGATTATGTCAATAGATGCAGAAAAGGCCTTTGACAAAATTCAACAGCCCTTCATGCTAAAAACTCTCAATAAATTAGTTATTGATGGGACGTATCTCAAAATAATAAGAGCTATTTATGAACAAACCCACAGCCAATATCATACTGAATGGGCAAAAACTGGAACCATTCCCTTTGAAAACTGCCACAAGAAAGGGATGCCCTCTCTCATCACTCCTATTCAACACAGTGTTGGAAGTTCTGGCCAGGGCAATCAGGCAGGAGAAATAAATAAAGGGTATTTAGTTAGGAAAAGAGGAAGTCAAATTGTCCCTGTTTGCAGATGACATGTTTGTATATCTAGAAAACCCCATCGTCTCAGCCCAAAATCTCCTTAAGCTGATAAGAAACTTCAGCAAAGTCTCAGGATACAAAATCAATGTGCAAAAATCACAAGCATTCTTATACATCAGTAACAGACTAAAAGAGAGCCAAATCATGAGTGAACTGCCATTCACAATTGCTTCAAAGAGAATAAAATACCTAGGAATCCAACTTACAAGGGATGTGAAGGACCTCTTCAGGGAGAACTACAAACCACTGCTCAATGTAATAAAAGAGGATACAAACAAATGGAAGAACATTCCATGCTCATGAGTAGGAAGAATCAATATCATGAAAATGGCCGTACTGCCCAAGGTAATTTACAGATTCAATGCCACCCCATCAAGCTACCAATGACTTTCTTCACAGAATTGGAAAAAACTACTTTAAAGTTCATATGGAACCAAAAAAGAGCCCGCATCGCCAAGTCAATCCTAAGCCAAAGGACAAAGCTGGAGGCATCACACTACCTGACTTCAAACTATACTACAAGGCTACAAACCAAAACAGCATGTTACTGGTACCAAAACAGAGATATAGACAAATGCAACAGAACAGAGGCCTCAGAAATAACACCACACATCTACAACCATCTGATCTTTGACAAACCTGACAAAAACAAGAAATAGGGAAAGGATTCCCTATTTAACAAATGGTGCTGGGAAAACAGGCAAGCCATACGTAGAAAGCTGAAACTGGATCCCTTCCTCATACCTTATACAAAAATTAAGTCAAGGTGGATTAAAGACTTACATGTTAGACCTAAAACCATAAAAACCCTAGAAGAAAAACTGGGCAATAACATTCAGGACATAGGCATGGGCAAGGACTTCATGTCTAAAACACCAGAAGCAATGGCAACAAAAGCCAAAATTGACAAATGGGATCTAATTAAACTAAAGAGCTTCTGCACAGCAAAAGAAACTACCATCAGAGTGAACAGGCAACCTACAGAATTGGAGAAAATTTTTGAAATCTACTCTTCTGACAAAGGGCTAATATCCAGAATCTACAATGAACTCAAACAAATTTACAAGAAAAAAACAAACAACCCCATCAACAAGTGGGCGAAGGATATGAACAGACACTTCTCAAAAGAAGACATTTATGCAGCCAACAGACACATGAAAAAAAGCTCACCATCACTGGCCATCAGAGAAATGCAAATCAAAACCACAATGGGATACCATCTCACACCAGTTAGAATGGCAATCATTAAAAAGTCAGGAAACAACAGGTGCTGGAGAGGATGTGGAGAAATAGTAACACTTTTACACTGTTGGTGGGACTGTAAACTAGTTCAACCACTGTGGAAGACAGTGTGGTGATTCCTCAGGGATCTACAACTAGAAATTCCATTTGACCCAGCCATCCCATTACTGGGTATATACCCAAAAGATTATAAATCATGCTGCTATAAAGACACATGCACACGTATGTTTATTGCAGCACTATTCACAATAGCAAAGACTTGGAACCAACCCAAATGCCCATCAATGATAGACTGGATTAAGAAAATGTGGCACATATATATCATGGAATACTATGCAGCCATAAAAATGATGAGTTCATGTCCTTTGTAGGGACATGGATGAAGCTGGAAACCACCATTCTCAGCAAACTATTGCAAGGACAAAAAAACCAAACACCGCATGTTCTCACTCATAGGAGGGAATTGAACAATGAGAACACTTGGACACAGTAAGTGGAACATTGCACACCGGAGCCTGTTGTTGGGTGGGGGAAGGTGGGAGGGATAGCATTAGGAGATATACCTAATGTAAATGATGACTTAATGGGTGCAGCACACCAACATGGCACATGTATACATATGTAACAAACCTGCACATTGTGCACATGTACCCTAGAACTTAAAGTATAATAAAATATATATAAACATATTTAAAAAATCAAAAGAAAGAAAAGAAAAGGAGAAAAACTACTATTTTCAAATTATCTGCTCTACTTTATAGTTTTCAGACTTAGGTATGAATCTCTAGAAAACATATAGTTTGATTTTACCTAACTGATGTGTGATTTTGAAGTGTATTTCCTTTCATTATAATATAATAACTAATTGTAATACAATAAAATACATTATATATGAAAAAATAAATAAATGACTATTATGGTATAACTTTTAAATAAAATAATTATTTTTTTGTATTATTGGTCAAATTTATTCAGAAACATCACCACATCTTTAGAAAAAGCTAATTTACTAGGCAATTTAGTATTCCATAATAGTAGTTGAGGTCATTTTTTTCATTCAGATAAAAAACATTAAGTCATCACAAAATTTTAATACTTCTAAGCAGCAAAATGCTGTGTGGTAGGGCAAGTCAGAATATTTATCTTTTGTTTTCTAGAAACATTTCTGTAGCTGATGATGGTTAAGTACATGAGAACAAATGAAATTCATCATTAACACATCTTATTCTATTATAATTACAGATAAGATATTGAAATATTTCTGCAAAGCACTTGCTGATGAATAATACATTGAATAATCAAGGCTTACATTTGAATGAGCTTTGCAAATTTGCTTAACTAAAATATTTTTTGCTCCCCATACATATTAACACATCTTAGTAGATCCCACTCTAGGCTGTAATGAATTAGTGTTTTCTCAACTACTTTGAAAATATTTTTTTCTGTAGTTGTTCCCAGATTATTCATAGAGGTTCATTTCTAATTCACTTTTAAATTTCGATTAACTCTTTGGATATACAACAATTGAGAAGTTTCAGAAATATTTGCCAGTTTATTAAAAGCCAAAGCAAACATCTTGAAATCGTTTACCTTAAACAATTATTGATTATTGATATTGCCCCCAAAATTCTAAAATAAAAGAAAATTCCTGCAATGGAAGGCTCATAGTCCTTAAAAAGATTTATTTTCTCTGGCTTTTCTAAGCTACCATGATTTAATTAACTAAGCATCAGTCAACGACTTCCTGGCTTGGCTAACAACTCAGGCACTTAGAATACTGTTTTGGTTACATTTCCTTTTTATTTATTTATTTATTTATTTATTTTTTATACTTTAAGTTCTAGGGTACATGTGCACAACATGCGGGTTTGTTACATATGTATACATGTGCCATGTTGGTGTGCTGAACCCGGTAACTCGTCATTTACATTGGGTATATCTCCTAATGCTTTCCCTCCCCTCTCGCCCCACCCCACAACAGGCCCCAGTGTGTGATATTCCCCTTCCTGTGTCCAAGTGTTCTCATTGTTCAATTCCCACCTATGAGTGAGAACATGCGGTGTTTGGTTTTTTGTCCTTACGATAGTTTGCTGAGAATGATGGTTTCCAGCTTCATCCATGTCCCTACAAAGGACATGAACTCATCATTTTTTATGGCTGCATAGTATTCCATGGTGTATATGTGCCACATTTTCTTAATCCAGTCTATCATTGATGGGCATTTGGGTTGGTTCCAAGTCTTTGCTATTGTGAATAGTGCCGCAATAAACATACGTGTGCATGTGTCTTTATAGCAGCATGATTTATAGTCCTTTGGGTATATACCCAGTAATGGGATGGCTGGGTCAAATGTTATTTCTAGTTCTAGATCCTTGAGGAATCGTCACACTGTCTTCCACATGGTTGAACTAGTTTACAGTCCCACCAACAGTGTAAAAGTGTTTGTATTTCTCCATATCCCCTCCGGCACCTGGAAATTCTTAGACATTTCATTTTTACTTTTATAATACTTCAACTGTTGTTTTTATGTTAGTTGAGAATACAGTGAAGGATGCTTAGTCTGGTAATATCAACATATATTGTATTCTTTTAGTACAGATACAGTGATATTGCATAATGAACAGAAAAGTTTGTGATAGAATTCAATAATAAAACAATACACACTCTTATTTGCCATTAAGAGTGTGAGATTCATAGTCCATCTCTCTCTCTCTCTCACTGTCTCTTTTTATGACATGATGATTATAAATTAGTAATATTTTAGTCAATTAGTTAATTTAGTCAGGTATAAAGGAATACCTGATGTTGGGTAATTTACCAAATTAAAGAGGTTTATTTGGCTCACAGATGTGCAACCTCTACAAGAGGCATGGCATCAGAACCTATTTCTCATGAGGGTTTCCAGAAGTTACTCATGACTGAAAGTGAAGAGAAAGAAAGCATGTCATATGGCAAGAGGGGAACAGAGGGGGATGAGAGGTTTCAGACACTTTATAACAACCAGATCTCATGAGAACTCATTCAATCCCACAGGAAGGGCAAAAAGCAATTCATGAAGGATCTGCCTCCTATGACCCAAACTTCTCCTACCAGGCCCATTCTCCAACATAGGAGATTATATTTCATTACTTTACAATACATTTCAACATGAGATTTGGAAGGGACAAATATCCAAACTATAGTAAGTAACAAACAGAAAATAATGGTATGTTGATATACATTGTACAATAACATCACTGAGTTATAACTACATTACTGATATATGTAATGTGCTGATCAGGAATACAAAGTAATAAGAGTGTTATATATGGTGCCTGTCACAGGATTCAATGCTGCTTTTGTAATACAGACATAGCTATAGACAATACATGAATTAATGAACATGGTTGTGTTCTTAGGAAGATATTTTTGATCACTGGAATTTGTAGTTCATATAATTTTCACAAGTAACACAATATTATTATTTTAAATTATTTTTAGCCATTTATGATATCTACAAACTATATTTGCTCATGAGCAATGAAACAACAGATGATGGGACAGTTTTAGCCACCAGGCCTTAGTTTGCCCAGCCCTACTTGTACTTAAAGTAGGTTCTTGTATATAGCCCATAGCTGGGTTATTTCTCTATTTTTCAACTTGACAAACTCAATTTTAATTAATTTGCTTATACCAATTATATATAATGAAATTATTTAAATGTTTAAAGGAGGATCTAAATCTTGTCAATGGTTTTCTATTTTTTCTGCCCATTGATTTTTTTTTGTTTTATTCTTGCTATTTTACCCCTTTTTCTGCTTCATTTTGAGCTGTCTTCTAAAATTCCATTTTATTTCAGTAATTGTTACATTATTTCTAACAATTTTAAAATATATTAATTTTCCTAGAATTTGTAGCATATGAATTTAATCACAGTCTGTTTTGTAATAGATATACACTACTACATATATAGCAGAATGACTTTTGAGTAATATGTATGCAATTCTTCTTTATCATCTTTTTTACTAGTTTGCCATATATTTTCTTTGATAAATTTTGTAAACTTGAAATACATTGCTACCATATTTTTCTTGAGTGAGATAAAAATCTTATATAGCCTTTAAATATTTATATAATCTTTGATAACCATAGACAAAACTATGTCTTTTATATTTATCTCATTTTTAGCCACTTATGAAGACCTTTATTTCCTTGAGTAGATTCATGTGTCTGTTTGATATCAATATTCTTCTGTCTAAAGAGTTTCCTCTAATGTTTCTTATATTTTCCATTACTGTGTTGCAATTTTTCTTTTGCTTACACATTTTATATACCTTTTTCAACTCGTTTTTAATACATTCACATAGTTATTTTAAATTTCTCTTCTCATAGTTCAAATATCTAGGATGTTATCTGAATCTAAATCTGTTGATTACTTTCTTTCCAGTGACTTTTGGGTAGAGATCTCATATAAGCCTTACTTCTCTTTTAGAAATACATCTGCAGTTCTGAGGAACTGCATCAATCCCACAAGAATGACACAAAGCAATTCATGAAGGATCCACCTCCTATGACCAAAACATCTCCTACCAGGCCCATCCTCCAACATAGGAGATTATATTTCATTACATTACATTTCAACATGTGATTTGGAAGGGACAAATATTCAAACTATATTCAGTAACAAACAGAAAATAATGGTATGGTGATATGCATAGTACAAAAAATATCACTGAGTTATAACTACATTACTGATATATGTAATGTGCTGAGCAGCAATACAAAGTAATAAGAGTACCTTATATGGTCTCTGGAATTCCCAGGAATTGCATATGAGTTCCTCAGGAAATGACGTATAAGTATTTGAAGGATTTTGTGCCATCCAGCAGTGCCCACTTTTGGGGTATATTTCCATTGCTATGTAATCAGTCCATGGGGCTGCATTTATAGAAAGCAAACTAACCCATCACATTTTCAGTGATCAAGCAAGAAAATAAAGAGGAAGGGATACAAGTGGAATAAAGACATCTGACCAGAGAAAACCATTAGGAAGAAAAAGATAGTTATCATTACTAAAGTACCAAAAGATAGGTTGAAATCTGAGAACTTCAATGTATCTTTAAAACCTGGACTAATATTTTTCCATGGCAGTGAACATTTTTTTCTAAGGAAATAGACTTAAATGTGGCCCTTGAACTACTGAATTCAAAGCATTTTGTTTCTCCTGAATCAAACTCATTTTGCTTTTCAATACCGTAATAAAAAGAACAACCTCGACTTCAAATACAGCCTTAAAGCAGCAGAGTTGCATAAATCTTATTCATGTAAACGATCTTCTAATATCACATCTGATTTAGAAAATGATACAGTTAATAATCACAACCCTATCTATTAAAATATACCTCACAATGTATATAAAATGTACCTTACAAATTTATGCTTCATAATAATTGTGATTTTTAAAAATATTCACATGGAATAGTTCCAGATTATCCGTCTGCATTTCCAGTTTATTCAATGAAGGATAACAGTGCCAGAATTGTTGGGTAAGAATAATGATACCTGAATTCATGAGCAGTGGTTGGACTACACTTGGTATGAAATAATTATGGTGGATGCCCCTTCATACAAATGTCTGGCTGCCAATGTATATAGCTAAAAATAAAACTTTGGAGTCAAGCTTTCTAGAAGTAAAGCACACAGAGCATTATTTTTATGAATTACAGAATAGAATGGGTTGACAGGATCATCATTTGAAAGGACTACTTCCTGCAGGTATCAAAAACTATGTCATCAGCTGAAAGGAATCATAAGTTGCCAGTTTCTAATAACAGAATTCTACTAAATACTGTAAGGATTCCATGAAGTTTATAGCTTTAAGTAGGAAAGAAAAGAGATTAATGCCTATAATTAAAACAAAAACCATATTTAAAAAGATTTTTAGAAACAGCTTTGCCATTACTCTGTCATAATCGAGAATTTCTATTTTATATCTGGAAATGTAGGTAATGAAAAAAACAACAAAATCTGTCTTAAGTTAAACTACAGTTGTTTCTTATTTTGATCATCTCTATGAATAGACTTCAGTGCCTAGTAATTAGTTGATTATGCGGTTTTATATATGATAAAGCCTCACAGCATGAAAACGAGGTCTCCACATGTGTTAACCAGGGTACTACCTCAGAGAGTTTAGCTTCTGCTTTAGTGTTTGCGGTTTTAGAACACTTTTGCTGATCTTTTCCCAATAATTTTTGATTAAATAATATGATTAAGTGTCTCCAAAAATACCGTTGAAATATATACCTGATTTGTAGCTTATGAAACACTTTGGTTAAAGTCTACCCATTAGGGAAGAAAATGCATTATTTTTAAAAGCTCACTAACCACAATACAAGTGAGAACACATACAGCAATTAAAATAGATGTTTAGTGCAGTGCACCTGTAAGTAGAAAAAAATTTTAAGCCTATTCTTATGTGTTTTTGGTATGCTAACAATGAGATTCACATTAAATTACCTAATTTTTATTCATGCATGCCTAGGTAGAAACGGGACTTAAATTAATTGTCCGTGGGTTTTCTATTGGCTCTAAGAGAAAAATTCTTTACAAATTGGTCCCCAAAGAATCAAAACCACTATTATAACACCATAATTACAATTCACTGGAATATACCATATACAGAGGAGTATTTTTTTTTAGTACAAGAATTACTTCCTAGTTGAGTCTACTACTGGCCCCTTAGTCTTACTGCCTTATTAAATTTTACTCTGAATGAGTTCAAGACTTGAAAAGTTTTTATAATTTTTTTCTTTTTATCATTTTTTAAAAACATATAAGTGTGTTAACTTTAAAGTTAATACTTTATTTTAGAATATTCAAATGTAACATAAACATAGATTTTAGGAAACTATCTCCAGGATATCATCAAATCAATGTAATTAACATAATCTTCTCTTGAGCTTTCTAAAACTACATGACTATAAGTCACATTTATTGAAGATGATGAGTTAATTTGCCTGACCAGAAATTTTGGTGACTTTGGTCATGATAAAGATATAACAAATTGTTACATAATATAATTTGTAATGATTTAATTAAATATAAAATGATATTTAATGTGTGGTCATAGTATAAAATTCTCTCCATAAAATTAATGATTAGCCACTTTTATTGTTTTAAAATGTGCAGATAAAGTCATATCTGTAAGAAAACAACCTTATTATTAATACAAATTTAAGGAAAAAGATGTAAAAATTGTTATTTTTATATTCCATTGAAATTTCTTTTTTTTCACAAACCTACTTAATGTCAAGAAGCCAATTGTGCATCATATCTTGGAAGTAAGTTACTATTTCTAACAGGTAATGCTCTGTGGGAGCAGAATCACTATAATGGGAAGGGCAGTGTAAGTAACTGCTCAGAAGAACATTGATCTTTCCAATGATACTTTGAATAATAATGAAAATATGACTACTTATGGTAACCCTTTGCTGTATATCTAGGGAGATCATTTTACTTCTGGAAAAGAATAATTATCCTTTCATGCTAATTATCCTAAAATACAGGTAGGTCGATTAATTTATTGGGAAAAGAAAGAAATTAACACTGGCTGGCAATACAAAAATTAAACGCAATTTATTTAACCTGCTCACTATTAGCATTCACTGTGAAGCAAATTAAAGGTAGAATATGGGAATATTTCAATCTCCCACTCAAAAAAAAACAAGTTTATTAGTTACACAGAGCCTTTTACCTTATATTCCAGCAAAATTTTTATGAAGAATAAATAGAGTCAAGAAAAGAACATTGGTCTTTGTACAGTCACATGCCAATAAAGTGATTGTCTAATTTTTACCATAAATACTTTTTATTCTTACAATTTAGTGATGTATTATTGTCCAGAACTTAAGACATTTTATTCTAAAGATAGAGATACCACAGTGGAAGAGAATAACACAAATCCATGTTTCTGAAAAATCAGGTTGAGAACGGTGCATGTGGATTTGCGAATAGAAGAATCTGCATGGATAGATTGGTGTGATTCAAGCAAACTGCTTCCCGAATGCGTGCAGATATATATGCAAAACCTAAGGACCTGTGGCAGAATCTACTGGGTTCATAAGCAAATAAGGGTAGCAATAGCACGTTCAAGTGATTGCCCTGTCTCAGCCTCCCGAGTAGCTGGGAGTACAGGCACGTGCCACACTCCTGGCTACTTTTTGTATTTTTAGTAGAGGTGGGGTTTCACCATGTTGGCCAGGCTGGTCTCCAACTCCTGACCTCAAGTATTCCAACAGCCTCAGCCTCCCAACGTGCTGGGATTACAGGTGTGAGCTACCGCACCCGGCCGAGGTTTTTTAAAAATTAGCAGAGTAGTAGACATTGCAAACTCTCTGACATCTGGTTCTCTTGTACTTCTGGGTACATAGAGGACTATATACTCCCCTAAAGTGAAGTGTGATTATGTAGATAGTTTTAACCAATGAAATATGAATGAAAGTAACATGTCATTGTTGGTCAGGAGCATTTAAGAGCTGGTGCATGACGTTGAAGTTTACTTTCTTTTTCCACAGAATCATAGAAACATATGCAAATACAGATGCTGTAAGAGTGAAGCAGTATGGAATAATAAGCCCCTCACCTTCAGGAAAGCTGCCCTGCAGAATTTTCCAGACCAACAGTGGACTTTATGTAAATGAAAATAAAATTAAATAAGCTGCTGAAAAAAAAAAGGAAATGTAAGATCACAAAGTGTTATAACTGGGGGGACCTGCTACATCTAGTCCCACCTCTTTCTTCTTAATGTTTATGTGTTAGTAATAGAATGGTCAACAAATATTCACAAGCTCACCCATGTCTTCTAACATTTACGTGACTAGTTGGAGGTCATAATGTGTTAAATTTTGACAAGGAGCTATGCACAGAAATAATGTTTATTGCTTACTAGCCAAAGTAAAAATAATCTAGAACATCCCTTTTCAGTTGTCTCTTCTAATATACAGTTCTAGTTGTTCCAGATTCTACAGGTATAAGAAGGTGAAGCTTATGTCAGTCTAGTGCTCTGTGGGCCTGTGTGGAGCAGAGCCTCCATCCAAAATATATGAATAAGTAACATAATCAATAAATTAATCTCTATTGTGTTAAGCCACTGCAATTTGAAATTTTGTTTTTACTGAAGTGCAAACTTATCCTATACTTATCAAAATAGAAATGAAGAAATAGTTACAAAGAGAAGAAAATTATAATTTTTTTGTTTAGTTAGTAAATCTTCAGGTAATTAGAAAAAGTGATGCTTTTTAAGAACGACTTCATTATAAATTTCTCCACTGAGAATACTAATTTATTATATTTTAAGTATGCAAAGTTTATAAAATTAAATAAACATCTTTGCTATCCATAGATGATGGACAATAATGCATTCTAGATTTGCACTTTGGAGTATCTTTATTGCAGTATAACTGACTCTACTACATTCTCCTCTAAAGTGAATTATATTTTCTGTCATTTTTATTAAAATGTTGCTGGATTCTAATTGTTTGAGGATAAAAAGATGGAAAAGTAAATACTCAGGCTATAATATCTGTAGGAAATCAGAAATATTTATGTTATTAAGAAATACTTTGTAAAGGCATGAACTGTCTTTTAATTACTACTTTGCCAACATAAAACACACTCTCTTTAGGAAAAAATGAGAATATTGAAGATACTCATAGAAATAACACTAGTTTCAAATGATTTCATAAATATTTGCTATGGTTTTCTCCTACGCCCAGAATAAATGGCTTTTGAAAATAATAGTTGAAGTGAGGCCAAGGCGTTTAATCATTCTGAAAACCTATTTATTGTGTACATATCACGTAGCAATAGAGATGATTTATATTATAGCACAAACCAAAACACAATTAAAACAAATGATTTTCTTCTTGAGAGTTAGAAATTCTTGCTACCCCTTTATTTCTAGAGACTTCTTCCCGCATAGGGGGCAAATTTTGCAGGGCTAGTGTGTGAAAAAAATTACTGAGATTTCTGCAGCCAGCAATTCAGGCAATCTCATATCCTTGAAAAGACAGTGAAAATGAATTCTGTGATAAAACCTATTCCTGGGGATTGGAGGTGACAATTGTAGACTACACAAATGCCTGCAGCTTTCTCTGGGGCTTCAGGGTGGAAGCTAGTCTGTATGCCTTCAATGAGAGTTAACCTGCATATCTAAATTTTGTAATACAAAGTAATACCTAGATAAGCAGGATCTCAAATAAGAATGGATATAATATCTATGTAAATTGGATATCATGGCACGATATTCTTCTCTTGTTACTTGGCTTGTATAACTAAGAAATTATGTATTCAGTAATTATGAAGGAATGATCAATAAAGACAGCCTCTGCTTTTTCTAAAATTTGCCTATAGATAGATACAAATTGAATAGGCAGTTTTCATCACATGCTAAATTTCATGAATACAGCAAAGCAATGTATATCCTTTTACACTCATAAGCAAGTGAGTATTTTGAAGGTTAGTTGCATTCAAGGCATAGTAAGAACTCATTTTAGAATATCCCTTAATGATTTCAAGATGTAACAAAAGTGAAATCAGCAGATAGCTTATACACTAATTTTTTTAAGATGCTAGTTATGCCTTATGATTGGCAAAATTCAAAATATTCATAAGAAATTCTTCATGCCTCAAACAGCCTTTTGGTTTGGAATAAATTAATTTATAATTTAAATTAAAAATAAGGTTTGATAATTTGCAAAATTGTGAATGTTCTTTTTTTCAGTTTACTTGATAATGAATCAAAATTTAGGTGTGTTTCTCATTTTAAACCTTCTGTCTCCACTGTTTGTTTTTATGAAAGAAACGCTTCTTATGTATTTTGCCAAATTTGGATTAGCATTTTAAAAATGACTCTATATTGAAACCACAATTGTGGCATTCCTTCACAAAGTGTATTATTAGAAAGAAACAGGGAGAAACTTACTATAGTAATCACAAGACTGTATTACTTAATATTTGACAAAAATCTCTTAATTGTTATACTGTTTGTATAGCTGTTGAAAAATACTTACCTTCCTATTTTGAAATATCCACAACTAATTTTCATAATTTATCAGTACATGATATCATTATGCTTGATGAGCCTGGCTAACTGATATGGGGAAAAAAAAAACATTTAATAAATTCAGGTCTCATGTGACTTGCCCGCTACTTGCCTTCGTATTACGAAATCAGCCAATTCTCTCCTCATACCTATCTCTAAAATACCACCATGGGCGGGGAAGAAGATTTTCAAAGGCAGAATATTATTCCACCATATTTAGATCAAAATATTCCTCCATTAACTAAATACAATGTGCTACTCTCACTCTATTCCTAATGTCTAGTAAATATTTTAAAATTTTATTCTTTAGTATCTGCTCCTCTAATTTGTCACATCTTTTCTGGACTTTTGCCACTGACTTCTTTCTAATCACAATTTTTATCAACTAATGCCATCTGTGTCACAATTCTCCACATTGCTAACAAAGAAACCACTCTAAAAAGTAAATTTGACTGAAAAACTTGTTAAAAATTATCATCAGAGTGAATAGGCAACCTACAGAATGGGAGAAAATTTTTGCAATCTATTCATCTGAAAAAGGGCTAATATCCAGAATCTACAAGGAACTTAAACAAATTTACAAGAAAAAAACAACCCCATCAAAAAGTGGGCAAAGAATATGAGCAGACACTTTTCCAAAGAAGACGTTAATGCAGCCAATAAACCTATGAAAAAAAGCCCATCGTCACTAGTCATTAGAGAAATGCAAATTAAAACCACAAGGAGATACCATCTCACGCCAGTTAGAATGGTGATCATTAAAAAGTCAGGAAAGAACAGATGCTGGAGAGGATGTGGAGAAATAGGAATGCTTTTACACTGTTGGTGGGAGTGTAAATTAGTTCAACCATTGTGGAAGACGGTGTGGCGATTCCTCAAGGTTCTAGAACTAGAAATACATTTGACCCAGCAATCCCGTTACTGGGTATATACCCAAAAGATCATAAATCATTCTACTATAAAGACCCATGTGCACGTATGTTTATTGCAGCACTATCCACAATAACAAAGACTTGAAACCAACTCAAATGCCCATCAATGTTAGACTGGATAAAGAAAATGAGGCACATATACACCATGGAATACTATGCAGCCATAAAAAAGGATGAGTTCATGTCATTCCAGCACTTTGGGAGGCCGAGGCAGGCAGATCACAAGGTCATGACATCGAGACCATCCTGGCCAACATGGTGAAACCCAATCTCTACTAAAAATACAAAAAAATTAGCTGCGCTTGGTGGTGCATGCTTGTAGTCCCTGCTACTTGGAAGGCTGAGGCAGGAGATCACTTGAACCCAGGAGGCGGATGCTGCAGTGAGCTGAGATCGTGCCACTGCACTCCAGCCTGGTGACAGAGCGAGACTCCTTCTCAAAGAAAGAAAGAAAGAAAGAAAGAAAGAAAGAAAGAAAGAAAGAGTTCATGTCCTTTGCAGGGACATGGATGAAGCTGGAAACCATCATTCTTAGCAAACTAACACAAGAACAGAAAACCAAACAGCATCTTCTCACTCATAAGTGGGAGCTGAACAATTAGAACACATGGACACAGGGAGGGGAACATCACACACTGGGAGTTGTCAGGGGATGGGGGGCTATGGGAGGTATAGCATTAGGAGAAGTACCTAATGTGGATGACGGGTTGATGGGTGCAGTAAACCACCATGGCACGTGTATACATATGTAACAAAACTGCACATTCTGCACATGTACCCCAGAACTTAAAGTATAATAAATAAATAAATAAAAAGTACATTTAACTTAAAAATGTTAAAACTTTTACATGGCTTTTGTTTACTTTAAATAATAAAACTGGATCTTGTTTCTTATTATGTACAAAAATCAGCTCAAGATAGATTAAAGACTTATATGTAAGACCTGAAACTATGAGTTCTAGGAGAAAACCCGGGTAAAACTCTTCTGGACATTGGTCTAAGCAATGAATTCATCACTAAGACCTCAAAAGAACAGGCAACAAAAACAAAAATAGAAAAATTGAATTAATTAAATGAAAAAGCTTCTGTACAATAAAATAAATAATCAACAGAGTGAATAGATAACCTGCAAAATGGGAGAAAATACTTTCAAACTATGCATTTGAAGAGGGAATAGTATCTCAAACTTATACAGAACTCCCAACAACTCAACAACAGCAATGAATTGAAACAAATAATTCCATTAAAAAGTGGACAAATGACATGAATGGATATTTTTCATTCAAATGGCCAATAGGCATATAAAAATGGTTAATATCACTAATCATTAGAGAAATGCAAATTAAAACCACAGTGAGATATCATCTTATACTAGTCAGAAAGGCTATTATGAAAAAGTCAGAAAAACAACAAATGGCAAGAATGCAGAGAACAGGGAACACTTATTGTTGGGAATGCAAGTTAGTACAACATCTATAAGAAATAATATGAAGATTTCTCAAAGAAGTAAAGATAGAACTACCATTCGAGCCAGCAATTCAACTACTGGTTATCTGCCCAAAGGAAAAGAAATAATTATATTAAAAATACACTGTCATTTGTATGTTTATCACAGCACAATTCACAGTAGCAAAGATAATGTATCAGCCTAAATGTTCACCAATGGATAACTGGATTTTAAAAATGTAGTAAATATGTCCAATATAATTACATTTAGAAATAAAAAAATCATGTCTTTAATTTAAAGAGAAGAAACAGTATGACTATCTTCTGGAGTTAGGCAGATGACAGAATAATCAGATTTGTTGCAACTAACTTGTTTAGTAAATTTCATAGATCTGTGACATAAGTTGGATTGGTATGGGTAGGGTAATGTTACAGATTATGGCTCCTAAGTTCAAATGTCCTATATGATGTTGATACTGGAGGCCTTTATCTTAAGTGAAGCAACTCAGGCACAGAAAGATGCCTGATGTTCTCACTGATAAGGGGTAGATAAATAATGTGTACACATAAACGTAGAGTGTGGAATTATAGGCAATGAAGACTCAGAGGTTTAGGAGGTGGACAAGGTAAATGATGAGAAATTACTTAATGTGCACAATGTACGTTATTCAGGTGATGGATAACCTAAAATCTCTGGCTTCACCACTACACTATGCATGTATCAAAATTTCACATGTACCCCATACATTTACACAAATAAAACATAACCTCTAATATATATCCACATACTAAACTTGTTGAGAATATAATTTTTAAAAATTTAGAATGGCACACATGAACCCTTGAGAAATATCCCTTGCCTATACCCTTCAGCTTTACTGCATATATGCTATCCCCTCAATTTTTCCCAGGTAGCATACTGTGTTAACATATAGGATGTCTAAGTGTAGGAGCCATGATCACATTATCCTACCCACGCCAACCCAACTGCCATTACACATCTATGAAATCTACTAGAATAGTTAGTTGAAGGAAATTTGATTATGCTGTCAGATTGTCTACCTCAGCAAGACCACATAACTATCTATAATTTTGTTTTTAAAATATAGTTTTTTAATTTAAGATGTGATACCAAACTCAAAACTTCCGTGGAAAATTCTGTTATTGAATTAAAAAAGTGTTGTAAGATCTGTCATTTAAAAAGTTTCACTCTTACCCTGAAGCTTCCTTCTCACACCTCCCTCATCTCTTGCATTATTCCCCTAGATAAAGTTTTAAGTAAATGGAGAGAGGTAGACCTGCCAAACTAGCCATACACTCAGACACCAGCTTGAAAATTGGGAAAAGTCTCTTAATGTCAAAAGGGATATATTAAGGTAAACAGGAGATTGAAATAGAAAAAAAAAATAACTAACAGGGATGCTATAAAGTAGGAGTAGTTAAAATTTTTTGGTAGATTTTGTGTGTGTGTGTGTGTGTGTGTGTGTGTGTGTGTGTGTGTGTGTGTGTGTGTGTGTATGAGAAACAGAGTATATAGTATAAGGCAGAAGCAGGTACTTACAGCATTACTAGATAAACCCTGCTTTTAAATGAAGAATTCAGGCCAGCTACCTTGGCTCACGCTTGGCTCACGCCTGTAATCCCAGCATTTGGGGAGGTGGAGGCCGGCAGATCATGAGGTCAGGTGTTCTAGACCAGCCTGGCCAACATGGTGAAACCCCGTCTCTACTAAAAATACAAAAATTAGCTGGGTGTAGTGGCAGATGCCTGTAGTCCCAGTCACTCAGAAGGCTGAGGCAGGAGAATCACTTGAACCCAGGAGGCGGAGGTTGTAGTGAGCTGAGACTGTGCCACTGCACTCTAGACTGGCCAACAAAGTGAGACTCCATCCCCACCACACCCCCCTCCAAAAAATGAAGAGTTCAAAATTAATTGTTCCCTTTATGAGGTAGTGTCAAAGCTATAAGCATTTATTCTGCTATTAGACCATGCATTCCCTCACTTACTACACACCTCAAAATCTCAGCCCTTGGCATTCTTGCCTTCTTTCATTGCATTCAGTTTGCACGTGAATCCATTTATGCCTGTAGTTTTAAGTCAGTTATTCAATCTTCTCTATAGTGCAATACACATATTTGTGGTAAGCACTGCGGATATCCCTATATATTTATAATATGCATGTGCCAAGTCATCCTCCATGTAGTGTATTTTCATCTGCCAGTTGCCTTCTTCTTTCTGATGGGCATGATCACATCCTGCAAATTCCCTGGCTGGGCACGGTTTTGCTTTATTTCACATAGACACACACACACACACACACACACACACACACACACACACACAGAGAGAGAGAGAGAGAGAGAGAGAGAGAGAACATTAAAAACATCTAATTTGAATGAATCTCTGCCATGAAAGAAAATTTTAAAAATTGCAAAGTATTTGCAAAGTTCTGTTACCTAAACTATAATAAAAATGGAAATTTAATTGCAATTTGTATCATATACAGTGTTAATTGTTACATTCTGGGCATTCTGAGTTTCACAGATATGAATTAATTATCTTCTCATTTGTGTTGTTTTTATTCTATTTTTGTAGAACAGAATATATCTGTGGGGGGATATTTGACAAAAAGACTGCAATTCAATCTAACAAATGAGGTCACAATGTTAATGAAATATTTTATGCAGTAGCTGGCAGTTTCAGCATATATTTCTAGTTCACACAAGGTAACTCAGCCAAACAATAGATAGAGACTTTCCAAATATTTTACATCTCAATAGCAATCCGAATAAATCTGTCATACAAAATCATGCTGCTGAGATACTGGTGAAGCCCAGTGCTGTTTTAAAATTAGGCATTTATAAAAATACAACAAGTTGGGACAAAACAAAAGTAATAACAGTCTGTTTATACATTTTAAAAAGTAAAAGCATTTTGGTTTATTAGTTTTCTTGATTTCCTTTGCTTAAGGAATACTCTACTTGCCACCTTTATTTTTTTTTCTGAGAATTTTATTTATAAATATATCTGCTTCACTTTTTCTTTGTATGTGGTTGTGTCTATTCAAAAAGGCAGAGACATATTCTTTGATAAAAAATAAAGCAAGTTTTGGTTTTTTGTTTTATTGCTGACTTTATTTTATTATTATCTAACCCATTCTCTTTCTAAGGAATAAAGTTTACATATTATCATGTATGTGAATTATATCATGGTGAAAAAATTAGAGGGTAACAGTCAACAGAAAAATTGTACTAATTAGAGGCAAGCAGATTGTTAATGAATCTTCACTTCCAAGACCTTAGGCCTCAAGGATTTTGTATCTCGTCACTTTCTGCTCTTGGATAGCTTATCATGTTCTATCTGAGAGTTTATCTTTAGAACTTGGATTATTAGAGTAAAGCAACATTAATTGAAATTTCATATGTCCTCCTTAACCATTAATTCTTCTAATCTTATTTCACAATATACACATGGTATGAAAAATTTAAGAGTAAAATCCCTAAAACACTATAGCAAGCTTGGAGTCCTCCGCCACGTGTACCTCAGCCAAATCTCTCCTCAAAACAGTGAATCTGTATGTAATATTTCTTGCATGTGGTCTAACCACTGACCAGATCTAAGAAAATCACTTTCTGGGACACAAAAATGGTGCTTCATTATAAATAGACAAATTCAGTTTTTGAGATAACTGTTATTATACTATTGGCATTGTATTTTAATGTCTAATTATGAAACAGCTTTTATGAAAACACATTTGGATAATTTTTAATAACTTATTCTGATAAATTTTAGTAGCTACCAATAATTGAATATCTTATATTGATTTTCCAGGTGTCCTCATTTAAATACATACCATATGAATTGTTTTAAACTCTAATATAAGCAAAATAATGATTTTGGATAACATGACTTGATTTGCAAAATTTTCATTGTAACTATTCTAGTTCATATTGACTTTTTGTCTCTCCTTTGTTTGTACTCCTCATAAGCTTTTAAGTAATCTTTTAAAAAATGATAAAGCATTGGTGTCTCTCTTTACCAGATAACTTCAGAATCCCCCCATAGATTCTCATAAACACCAGCAAAAGAGCTCTAGAAAAGAGAAGCAACATGTGTCAACTGTTTCATTCCACCTACTTCCTTATTCTTATCAGGTCCTTTACCTGCTTTTCATTAGGCTGCCCTGATTTCTTTCAGATGCTAAATGCATGGTGCAGTGCGCTTATTTTCATGGCTGGACTGAATCACATATTTCTATATAATTAAAACTAAGAAAAGTAGTACTGAATCAAAAAATTCCCTACTAGTAATACATATCTTTGGGACACATATATATTTAATAAAGTTTTAAATGGGATTCTTTTGCTAAAATCTAAGCTATCTGTAAGCTTGTTTAGTGATGCATTTGAGAAGTTATTATAGCCTAAGGTGAAGTGATTATTCTTTACTTATTGTATGAAGCCTAGTTTTTTCTAATTCAAAGGAAGGTCACTTTGATCAAAAGCTGTTTAGTAATTTGATACTATATATTAGAACTAAAAGGCTAGATTATTCTTTTTTAAAAAAAAAATTCCACAGCACAGTAGACCAGGTGTTTAAGGAACTGATATTCTCAATGTCATTTCATTATTTTTTAAAGGTAAGAATATTGTACCATATTAAGTAATACATCACACTTACTTAAATATTAACCAATGTGAATTATTTACATCTACTAGTGAATGTCTTTACATAGCTAAATGTGGAGATTAGAAATATTGGTGATAAAACCCTGAGATATTAAAAAGAAAAAGCAAGCTCTACTCGGAGTTCATGATCATTATCTACATTTTCCAGGGAAGTTGTAAGCTCTCTAAAATGTGATACTTCTTTAGGAAGCTATCTCGAACAAGTTTTTCTTTTTTTAAAAGAAATACTCATTTGTATAAACTTTCAGGTTTTCCTGCATGTCAAATACAAGCATGAATGTAAATTTATAGAGAATTCCTTCATTTCTTATCCTAATATTGACAGCCTATTACACTGTGATACTGTTTGAAACTTGCTGCGATGTGTGAATTTTTATAAAATCACATGCGTTTGTGAGAACCTTCCTGTCTGTAAAGTTACCCCTCCAACCACTCAACCCAGCATCATTCACCCAGCAATGGAAGTTGTATACTAAATATGAATGGCTAGGGTAAAGCTTATGTAAATTCAGGGAGATCTCAGAAAGTCAAGATGAACTTTCACAATTGAAGTTTGAACTCTAATTTATGAATTTTATTTGCATTTGGTCAAACACCCATTGTGATTGTCCCATTTGAAGGAGCAATGATAAACATATAAAAGGCTACTACCCGATATACTGACCATGAGCATAGAGCTTGCAGCGAGACTGAGTTTGAATACTAACTCTGTCGTTAGCTCTCTGATTGGCTTTAAGGCACTTAGCATTTCTGAATCTATGTTTTGTTATTTGCAAAATGAAAGTGACTATAATGATATTTATCGCTTTGTGTTCTTTTAACGAATAAATTAGTTCACATATGTAAGGAACATCTTTCACATACCATAGTTAGAACTGTTTATGGGTTAGTCATTTTAATTATATATTTAACCAAAAATATGTGTTCTTACTTTTCATTTTCTTTACCAAGCAATTTAAAAGTGATATTGATGTTACAGACTGAATCCATTTTTTAATTAATTCATATGACCATCACTACTCTTTGGAAAAGAAATGGGTTGACTACAGGATGAAGAACTCTAAAACTGTAGTAAACGTAGTTATACACCTTGCTGTCTTTGATCAGATATTCTTAAAGAAGACTATGTTCAAATAAAGAAACAAAATAATACAATCCAAATTCTAAGGGACTCATATGGATCCATCACCTCTACTAAATCAGAGACACTAAGTCAATATTTATTTGAAATAAATATAAAAGAAATATTACTTTAGATTGCATTTGTGATTATGCATAGAGTCCACATGAAACCAAGTTGTTTGCTAACATTTTGCCATTTAGTACCTTAATTTATTTTTATGTAGGTTAAGTCTCATTGTAATCTTTATCTGTTTTAAATAGAACTTAATTTAACAAAATTTCAGATTTAAAGTGATACCCTATTTATTTCTCTCTTATTTCATTAATGACGGAGTTACAAAGCTCAGTCTCGACATTATTCCCAGGGTATCCCATTAGAAACAATATGACAAAAAAGCCTATCATTTATTTTTCTCACTCATTTATAGCCTTTCAGAATATTTGCAATCTTTTGGAACATTTTTGTATTGACAATTCTTTTGTAGCTCTTTAACCTTTAAAAGAATTATATCTGATTATTATATGTAGAATTAGCATAAATTAAATATATTTGACTGCTAATTTTTAAGGCAAATGTACTAAGATTTTGTGTTTATGCATATATTATTTTATGGAACTATTTATCTGTTTATTTTTACTAGCAATTCATTACACATTTGCGGGGAAAGAAAGTAAAATCCTAAATGAGAAAATTTCGTATTTGATTTTTTAAAATTCTTTTGTGTTCTTTCTGCACTTTTTCAAACTTTTTCTCTTCCTATTGTAAAATAACCTGGAGCTGAAAATCTGAGTGCCCATGCTTGAAAGTCATGTTGATTTTATATCCCTTACTGAATATTGTTACTTGTCCTGGTGTTTCCCGTTTTCTGATATGTTTGTTAAAACTATTTGGCTGAAATAGCTAACATAGCTTATTACTACTGTTATTTCCTTTCTACATACTACAGTTTGTTGTTTATAGTTTCTTTTTCTTTACTTATGTATTTTAATTTTGAAAGTTTAATTTTTGGCTTACTTTTCTTTTTTTAAAATGTTGCTTTATTCGGTAATTTGTTGCTTGTGTTCTTACAAAGTCTATGCCTCTTCTCACTTTCATGTGATATATATTTTATTTCAAAGATACAATTTTTGTAAGACACTTTTAAATACATGTCAAAACAATCAAATGTAAACTAAAAGTAAATGTAGAAATTTAATTTATATGTTATATGTGATAGTTGGATGTCTTTAATATTTTTGGTATTCATTCTATTTCTTTTGTAAATATAATTTACCTTAATTGTTTTGGTCCTTGTATTGCAAATACAAAATATTTGCCATAAAGTAATTATGAAAAAAATTGACTCTATGAAGTTTGGCTAACACTCATAATTCATTTTGCATGAAGTACTCAATGAATTCAGATGCAATCAGTAATTATTATGGGAACAGTGACTCAAAAGTAATTCTTGATTTGAAAATTATCTTAATTTTAAAGTTTTCTTTTATTTTAGCTCTAGAAATACAGCAATTATGCACAGAGACATGAAGTGAATGCAAAAGTTAGTTAAAAAAAGGAAATGTATTTCTGTGTTTATTTGCTTGTGCTTAAAACCACCACTCACCTTAAAGTGGTATGTTAAAGTGAAAGCATTTACAAAAACTAAAATTTTATTTTTTCACATTTAAAATAGAAAAATATGATACTTTTTTTAGCTTTTCAAGAATTAATTTTAAAACAGTAATAGAAGCATAAATGTTTCATTTTTCTTTTAAATCATATGATTTAGTAAAATATAAAATGCATTAGAAAAATAAGCAGTTAAATATCTTAGGTAGTATAAAAAGTCAAAAAGCTGATAAATAGTAAAATTGACACACAAAAAATATAATTTTAATCACAGCCATGAATTTTGCTTATAATATTATGGCATTTCATTTTGTTTTGTAACACTTTCTGAAACATTTTCAATATTAACATTATAATAAAAATTAAATCTATTTTTGGAATTTGAGAATAAAACATCCCTTTAAAATTTAGTAGATTTGGGTTTCACATTTATTATTTCCTGGAATCATCTGGCCTGAATAAATGAGTTTAGGACTCATTATGCCCTCTTTAGGTAACTGTTAGATTTAAAACAATTAAGTTTGTTGTTTGCATATACTGCCCATTTCAGACAATATTAGAGTCTTGCCATTACTTCTGGAAGTATTTCTAGTGTTGCTTCTCATCAGTATCTGTGGTGTCACGTGGGGCAGTGTTATTATAACTACTTTCCCAGTTCTCCTACCTAACACTCTAATATCTTAAAGTGTTTTCGAGTGTTATTAGGAAGGCTTTTCCTTTTAGTAATTTATGCTTCACAAAGTTCTTTAGTCACATAAAAGAACTATATGGTTTATTTATGATGTCTGCAATTACTTGAGAAAAAAACCCAGAAAACTTTTATAACAATAGTAATTTCTAGACATAGTGAAATGCATTTAACAAGAAGAAATAAATGGGTCATATCTATTCAAGTTTCTTCTCTGTTATACTTGTTAAGACTATTACCATGGTATAAAACATGACAGAAACAACTCTTTAAACTACTTTCAGCTGCATTTAGTTTTACAAAATATGAGTATGATACATTTTAGCAGTGACTTAGATTTATATCTAAAATACAATATACACATTAATATGTAAAGTTGAGAGGGAGTATAGAGAAACTACAGTGGGTTTGTATTGTCTTTTTGCTCTGCCTTATTGCACGATTATTGTTCCATTTCAACTTTTGAAAAAGTAGTCACCTTACTCCCTACGATTCATTAAAAATATTGAAAAAGCATTACAGTGCAGTCCATAGTAATTTTGGTGATATTATGTCAAAATTCGATGTAGCATTTCTTGTAATGAAAGCTAAGTAAGTTGGGTAAATAAATAAATTTATTCAATGTCTTAAATAGCTGCAAAAGTTGCTTTCCCATAATATATTACATCAAATATTTTAAATATTTGATTTGCTTTCAAGATTTGCCTATTAAAATAAAAAACAGTGGCTAACATATTTGTATATATGTATGTATTTATACATTTTAAGATCAAAGGCCTTGAAGTGGAGTTGATAAGTCAAATTATACACAGATTTAACATCATCTTGTTTATTGTAAAATTGTCTTCTATATGTCCCACCAAATTACATTCCCACTGTAGATTATTTCTACATCAGCATTGAAATCACTTATATTTTTCTTAATCTAATAAGGAAAATAAAGTTTTATTTATCTCTATTTTTTAAAGATTACTGAGGCAAAAATTATTTAAATATTCATAAGCTTTTAAAAATTTAATGTGATAGCTATTTATATGAACACTACTTTCACAACCCATATTTTTCTCACTGATTTCAGAAAACAATTTAGTTTTCATTCTCTTTCACTCTCTCCTTCTCTGACTCGCTCTCTCTCCTCGGCTCTTGCTCTCTTCATCCCCTCTTATCTGTAGTGCCCTTTCTTGCTTGACTGAGTTTTTCGCTTCTGACTTTATATGGTGCGTTTTTGATTACCAGAATACTTTTGGATTACTAGAGAATATTGCTCATATTATTTTTCTTTGTTTCACAGAAATTTTATGAATCTTTTCATAGTCTGTTTATTCCAAAGACTGTTCTGTCATTTTGAAAATGTCCTAAATTAAAGTAATTAAACAGAGAGACTTTGGAAGTTTACTGTATAACTAGAAAATATCTATATTCATTAATATAAGGGAGAATTATAAAGTACATATCATTTAGGACAGCGTTTGCCTCTTGCTTTTACAAAGTTTTTCAAATTTTATTAACTTTTTTACTAAACTCCAGTAAATGTTATAGTTTTCTGGATAATCATTTTAGTAATTACATTTGATATTTTCATGCTTAATCTTGATATTGAATATTATTCATTTAAATATATATAATATTACACTGAATAATGAACAATATTTCCAAACTAGCAAAAATATGTAGGTATTCTTGTTATCTCAGTTTATCAGATCACAAAGCTAATACTCAAAGAGGTTATCTATGTATTCATATTACATAGTTGATAAGTGGCAAAGTTGTATCTTGAACCAAGTTTTCTAGGAACCCAGTGTCTAAGCACTTGCCACAATTGACTCTGTATATGTAACTTGTAAATAGTCACTTTTCTCAACCATATATTATTAATAATTATATGTATATATACACACAAATATACCCATATATTTATTTATATGTATATATTTAAGCAAAAACACATACACATAAATTTTATTCTGATGTAATTTCCTGATACAGAAATAAATTTCCCTTGCCAATCCAAATATTTGTACAACTTATTCTTTTTCTCTTCTAAATTCCATTGACTGGCACTTTTAGAAAGTGTTAGAAAAAGATAGTGGTGATAACATGCTGCCCCATCTGAGTTCTCACTTTCATAGGAATGCTCTTAAAGTTCCACCATTAATCAAAGTACATGTGTTCTATGGCACATAGTTACATGTATTCCTATTATACTGATTGTTTTTAATCAGCAATATATGTCCAATCTACCAAATGTTTTTCCTTCATGCATCAAGATATTCATACATTTAATATGTTTCCTAAAGTTTAGATATCATTGCATTACTGAAATGTATTCTATGTGACTATGAAATTTATTTTTCTACTAGATTGCTCCATTTTAATTGTGATTTTTTATTTGGAATGTTTGAATCAATTTTGGTGTTAGATTACTACACTATATATTACTTTCATGTGCTCTCTTCGTCAACTTTCAGTCCAACATAAAGAGGATTTAAAAAATACAAGAAGATTTTCAACTTTTGCCATCAGGTGGAATAATGTAAATGACATGTTGATCACATTTACATTTCTAAATTTGTATTTACATTTTGTCCATATTATCTTAGGCTTCCTTGTGATTTATTCTGTTGAAGTTTTTAAAGCTCTTTCTTTTTTATATTATAATAACTATTTTTTCTATTATAATCCATTCATAACTAATCTTATTCCTTTACTTCCTTCTTAATTTATTTGTTTTACATGATCTTTTAAAATGTTATTTTTAGCCATTTATATTTTAATTCATCCAAGTTCAGTAATGAGTGTTTTTAGGACTATACATTTTCCTCTGAGTACATAGTTGGCTCACTACCCTACATTTAATATTTATTGTTCCCCAAATTAATGTAGATGGATTGGCAAATGGTTGCCAAGAATTAAATGATACACACCCACTGCCTGTTTGCTAAATAAAATTATATTAGAGCACAGACACATCCTTTGTTTATTTATTGACGGTGATTGCTTTCGTGCTACAATGACAGAGTTGAGTAGGTGGAATAAATATCAAATAGCCCTCAAAGACTAAACTATTTTCCATTTATCCTTTCACAGCAGGATACATCAGGGAAAAACAGATCAGCCAGAATGTGGCCTCAGCCTCAGCTGTTGAAGAGGTTCAGCTTTAATCCTGCTAGTAGGCCTGGAGTATAAGTTGCATGGCAAAGTTGCCCCCACACTGGAGAAAATTTCACTGCTATTTTATCCAAATGTAAATCTGACATTTGAAGCATAAGGTCTTTCTATTGAGCAAGGAAGCTTAGTTTCACAGAAGAGGCAACTCCTATTTGGGTGAGAATATTCTCCAGAGAAAAGTGCTCTTTTAAAATCTATGACAGTTGGTGAACGGACATACTTGCCTAATAAAAGGTGAGCTGGGGGAAACCAAACAGCATCCACTAGAACCCATCATGTGCTTCAATCTGACTGGCTTGCTCCTGACATTAGCCTCACTTTATCTTGTCACTGCTTCACTAGGATTCAGATTTGTCATACTTTCTGCAAAAATGAGTAAATTAAAGTTTAATTAGATGACCTATAGCTTCCACTCTAGTCGTTTCTAAAACTATAACTGATATTATCCTTCTTTTTTTCTACATATTTAAATATTATTTCCTCTTAGCCAACACTTCTGTTGGTCTGGGTAGCTTGACTGGTGATGTGATCTATGCTTTCATCCCTGAAGGATTTTGAATATCTAATTAGCATGCATTTCTCAGATAATGTTTGCTATATTTGTATATTTTACAGTAGATTGTCAAACATATAATTCTCCACCTTCATTATTTTGCAATAGCCCCATGATCTCACATTGACTACAGTGAATTACCCCTCCCAGTATGACAGTCTTTTTCTGTGATTCTAGTTTACTGATGCAAAGAGCCAAAAGTTACCATGAGGACTATCATCATGTCCGTTCTTGTGATTAGAGTCTAAAGTTGCAATAATGAAAAGTAATATTTCTCCAAGTAGAGTACTCAGTGTTGCTGAATGGGACAAATCCTATTTGCACTGTTTTGCTTCTAGATTCATTTATTCTATCTACTGCAGATAATGATCATATAATTGCTGTTTGTCTACCATATTTTAAAGGCTATACCCTATTCTTTCAAGGTGTCATTCCGAAGTAGAATTTTCAGATATGCCTTCAATGTTTATTCCATTGTTTATGTGGCTGGCATATTTTTTTGATGATGTCATATGAAGTAGGACCAGTGAATCCTTGAGTTGTGCACCCAAACCACATTATTTTTTTTTCCATAAAGAAAATATTTTGGTCAAAGATTATGTTTGTGGGATCCTATTTCAGAAGTTTATTACTTTATCTCATATCTTCTTATAAGAAATTATAGTAAGTCAACCACCATTTTTAACCCTCCCTGGGACATTTTCTAAGGTATATGGTTAATTAGGTACCTTTTCTACCTTGCAGGTTTAGTCAAAACACAACATTTACAGTTGTTTGCAACTATACAACTAGTTAACATCTTTTCCAACATCTTCCTTGACTCTTTTCCTGCTTTTGCAAGCCAACTCTTTGCAAAGTCAAGGCCACTGTTTAAGTTACTCCCTGCCAGCACTCCATTTCTTGGTGCTCATTTCTATATCTGTTACTTGTTACTACACTACAAACCACTCCAAAACTTAGTGAATTAAAAGATTAAGCATTTATTAAAGCTCATTATTCTGGGAGTATAGGATGACCTAGCTGATTTATTCTGGAGTCTTATATGTGTCTTTGGTCAGAGTGAGGGTCAAATGACACATAGATCACTTAGAATGGCCTTTAATATCTGTCGAGAAATGGGCTTTGGCTAGGTCACTGTTGTTTGTTATTCTCCCAGATGGCCTGTCACTCTCCAGCAGGCTGCTTCTAAAGATGTAAGAAAAATGAGACAGCACACCCCCTGAAGTGATACTATTTTCTTGTGTCTTTTTGCATTATATTTGTTCTTATGAAATGTGTCAAAACATTTCTCGTGGCCAATACAGATTAAAGAATTGAGAAATACATATTACCTGTTGATTGATGAGAGTGGAAGGGTTTGTGACGAATCCTTCAATCTACTACAAGAAACCATGCCATTTTCAATGCCTAATTCATAGCTTTGATATCTTTAACCATAGCTGCTCAATTAATAAGCTCACTAAGAAGGCACTATGGTGACTGAAGATAGAGGTTGGCTGATATCCTTGGTTCAGTCATTCTATTGACTCTACTGTGTATTGCCCAATGCAATTGATGCCTCTGCTTGGCATTAACATGTAATATAAATATTCTCACTCATTAGATCTACTCATTAATCCATACATATGCTTCTTTCTAGACATTCTTATATGTAATCATCCAATCTTGCTACTTCCAGGTACCCAAACAAAGAGTGAATTCAATTTCCATTGCCCATGATTTTATATGTATGCCTTCCTTGAGCCAATTCTCTCTTCAGTTGTATGTGGACTAACACACATACAATTATTGGCTCAAATACTGTGGATCTTCTTACACTCAGTCTTGAATGGCTTATAATCTGTGACGACAAGCTCCAGATTCTTAATGGAGCTTTTTTGTGGTTTCTCACATGGAAACTTTCTCTAACATACATATCTCTAATACCATGGGACCTGCTGGGTCATATAGTCCTAGACATGCTGGAAAGTCCTTTTCAGCTTTATAACTTCTAAAAACTAGTAGCCTTCAGTATCACCTGATAAATGTATCTAATTTGCCATTCCTAATTGAGGAATGTTTTATTAAAAATCAATCCTGCAAGCATTACATTCTTTTATTAGTAGCAGGTTGTGCAAGGTACACTATTATGTCCTTTATTTTGCAAGTATTTTCCAGACCACTACTCACATAAATTTTCTTGCATAGTATATCCCTGAACTTTTGTGAGGTTTACTTTCCATTCTCTAAAGCCCAAATGCATTACCAAACAATCTAAATAATTTGTGGATTTGTATTTATTTGGTCTGATTTCATGCTAGTATCAATAACATGTGTCAATGTAGTATTCTGCAGAATGTCCTGATGGTGTTGATCCCATCAGAATGCACTGTGACAAAGAAATAGAAAATTAAACAGGCACTGGGATAAGACTTTAAATATATATTGTTGTCTGTCACATGTGAACAAATTGCATCTGATTCTTATTCCTGACTATTACTAATAAAAGAATGCATTTGGCTGGCATGGTGGTTCATGGCTGTAATCCCAGTGCTTTGGGAAGCTGAGGCAAGAGGATCACTTGGGCTCAGGAGGTTGAGGCTGCAGTGAACCATGATCACACCACTGCAGTCCAGCCTGGACAACAGAAAAAGACTGTCAAAAAAAAAAATATTACCAGATCAATAGTTACACAAGTACCACAAGCTGTAGCAATATCAATTCAGCACAACAGCTGAAAGTTGGGGTATAATTTGATTAATTATATTATTACTAAATTATTCTGTCATTCACTATGATTCACTAAGGTTTTTCAAGGGGAACATAGAAGAATAAGGCCAGTCATTTATTTTTCACTCAACAAACATTTATTAAGATCCCATGATACATCAGATATATTGTTACAAATGAATAATCTAACTCTAAAAACCATTGAGATAGTTCCTACCCTCACACACTTATGTGTACATGCTAAGTATACATCTAAAAAAAAGGAATGTACAACTGGGTATAGTCAATACTCTGATATGGTAAGAACAGTAAATAAATTAATACAATTCATTTTATTAAAAAATAAAGGAGGGTAAAATTTACATAAGATTTAGCATTTTAACCATGTTAAATTGTGAAATTTGACAGTTTGTAGTATATGCAGAATGTTGTGCAATAATTACTACTATCTTCCAGAATATTATCACCCCAAAAAAATAAGCTACACCTAATAAACAGCCACACACTATTCCTTCTACTCCAAGCCCCTGTTATTATTAATCTAGTTTCTGCATGTATAAATTTGACTATTCTGGATATTTTATGTAAATGGATCATATAACATGTGGACTTTATTGACTGGCTTTTTAACTTAGCATGGTTTTAAGTTCATCCACACTGTAGCATGTATCATTACTTTTTCTGTTTTGGTTAAATAATATTCTGCTGTATGCATTTACCACAGTTGTTTATCCACTCATCATTTGATGGACACTTTGATTGTGCCTAATTTGGGACTATTATTAATAATACTCCTATCAACATTTGTATACAAGTTTTTATGTAAACATATGTGTTTAATTCTCTTGGGCATACACCTAGGAGTGACATTTCTGAGTTATCTGATATAACCCTACTTTTAGCTTTTTGAGAAATAGCCATACTGTTTTCCACAGCAAGTGCACCATTTTATATTCCCATCAGTAATGTATAAACATTCCAGTTTCTCCACATCCTTGCCAGCACTTCTTATTATCTTCTTCCTCCCTTTCTCCTCCTCCACCTTTTTCTCCTCCCTTTGCCTTCTCCATCCTTCTCTTCCTCTTTTTCCCCCTCTCCTCCTCTTCCTTCTTTTATTATCTTCTTCATCTTGCTATCCTAGTGGGTTTAGAGTAGTTCTTTGTTTGAATTCTTAATGACCTAATGATATTAACCATTGTTTCAGATGCTTATTGACTTTATATATTTATGGAAAAATGTCTATGTTCTTTGCTCATTTTTTTAAATTATTATTTGAGATAGAGTCTTGCCCTGTCGGCCAGGCTGGAGTGCAGTGGCATATTATAGTTCAGTGCAACCTTGAACTCCTGCATTTAAGCAGTCTTCCCACCTCAGCCTTCTGAGCAGCTATGGCTGCAGGCACCCACCACCACACCTGGCTAATTTTTTTTAAAGGTATTTTTGTAGAGACAGGGTCTTGCTATGTTGCCCAGATTGGTCTCAAACTCCTAGCCTCAAGCAATCCTCCCACCTCAACCTCACAAAGCTCTGGGATTACAGTTGTAACCCACTGTGCCCAGCCGCATTTTTGAAATTAGCTGTTTATCTTTTAGTTGTTATTTGTGAGAATTCTTTACATATTCTGGATACTAGACTTTTATCAGATATATAATACGGAAATATATTTTTTAATTCCATGAGTTATCTTTTCCATTGCTTTGTAGTGTCCAATGATGGAAAAATTGTTTTTAATTTTGATGAAGTACAGTTTATTTTTTTCTTGGTTGATTGTGTCTTTTGTGCTATGTTTCAACAACCACTGGCTAACGTAAAGTGTTGAAGATTTACACATATATTTCCTTCTATGAATTTTATATTTTCAGCTCTTACATTTAAGTCTTCGATCCATTTTGATTTAATTTTTATATATGACATAATGTAGAGGTCCAAATTTATTCTTTTACTTGTGAATATTTAGTTGTCTCAGTACCATTTATTGAAAATATTTTTTTCTCATTAAGAGTTTTTACCAATTCTCTTGAAAATCAATTGACCATAAATATGTTGTTTTATTTTTGGACTCTGAGTTCTATTTCATTGATCCATGTCTGTCTATGTTTATGATAATACCACACTGTTTGATTAGTGTAGTTTACTAGTAAATTCAGGCATTGAGAAGTGTGAGACCTCCAGTTTTGTCCTTTTTAAAGATACTCTTCATTCTTCTGTGTTCCTTGCAATTCTCTATGAATTTTAGAATCAGCTTTTCATTTCTGAAAGAAAAAAATGACAACAAGAATTTTGATGGATTTGTATTTAATCTGGAGGTCGACTTGTTAAAATGTTATTTAAACAATATTGTCTTAGATCAATATACAAAATCAGCTGCATTTTATACAATTACAATGAACAAAACTGAAATATAATTAAGAAAACACTTGGTGGCCGAGGCAGGTGGATCACGAGGTCAGGAGATCAAGACCATCCTGGCTAACATGGTGAAACCCCATCTCTACTAAAAAATACAAAAAATTAGCTGGGCGTGGTGGTGGGCACCTGTAGTTCCAGCTACTCGGGAGGCTGAGGCAGGAGAATAGCGTGAACCTGGGAGGCAGAGCTTGCAGTGAGCCGAGATCGTGCCACTGCACTCCAGCCTGGGTGACAGAGCCAGACTTCATCTCAAAAAAGAAAAAAAAATTAACTTTTAATATACAAACATATAATATGTCTAAATAAACATGTCTATTTAGGTCATATTTAACTTATTTTGACAATGTTTCATAGTGTTCAGTGTAAAGTCTTTCACTTTTTGGTTACATTTATTACTAAGTATTTTATCCTTTTTATGCTACTGTAAGGAAAAGTGTTTTCTTAATTATATTTCAATTTCATTCATTGTAATTGTATAAAATGCAACTGATTTTGTACATTAATCTTGTATCCTGCAACTTTGCTAAATTCACTTTTTAGCTCTTACTTTTTTTATTAATTTGTTAGGGTTTTCTAAGTATAAGATCATGGGTTCTATAAAAAATAATTGTCTTTCTTTTTTAAAATTTTATCAATTTTTATTTTAGGTTCCAGGGTACACTTGCAGGATGTGCAGGTTTGTTACACAGGTAAACATGTGCCATGGTAGTTTGCTGCACAGATAGACCCATCACTCAGGTATTAATCCCAGTAACCATTAGCTGTTCTTCCTGATGCTTTCCCTTCCCCTATCCTCAACAGGCCCCAGTGTGTGTTGGTCCCCCACGTGTCCATGTGTTCTCATCATTCATCTCCCACTTATAAGTGAGAACATGCAGCGTTTGGCTTTCTGTTCTTGCGTTAGTTTGCTGAGGATAATGGCTTCCAGCTCCATCCATGCCCCTGCAAAAGACATGGTCTTGTTCCTTTTTTATGGCTGCATAGTATTTCGTGCTATATATGTTACACATTTTTATTTATCCAGTCTACTGTTGATGGACATTTAGGTTGGTTCCATGTCTTTGCTATTGTCAACAGTGCTGCAGTGAACATATGCATGCATGTATCTTTATACTAGAATAACTTGTATTCTTTGGTAATATACCTAGTATATTACCTAGTAATGAAATTGCTGGATCAGATGGCATTTCTTCTTCCAGATCTTTGAGAAATTGCCACACTGTCTTCCACAGTGTTTGAACTAATTTACATTCCCACCAACAGTGTAAAAGTGTTCCTATTTCTTGGCAGCCTCGCCAGCATCTGTTGTTTCTTGACTTTTTAATTATCACCATTCTGACTGGCATGAGACAATATCTCATTGTGGTTTTGATTTGCCTTTTCCTAACGATCAGTGATTTTGAGCTTTTTGGCATATGTTTTTTGGCTACATGAATGCCTTCCTTTGAGAAGTGTCTGTTCATGTCCTTTACCCACTTTCGATGGCTTTTTTGTTTGTTTTATAAATTAGTTTAAGTTTCTTGTAGAATCTGGATATTAGACTTTTGTCAGATGGATACATTGCAAAATTTTTCTCCCATTCTGTAGGTTGTCAATTAACTCTGATGATAGTTTCTTTTGCCATGCAAAAGCTCTTTAGCTTAAATAGATCCCGCTTGTCCGTTTTTGCTTTTGTTGCAATTGCTTTTCGCATTTTTTTCATGAAATCTTTGCCAGTGTATTATGTCCTGAATGATATTGCCTAGATTTTCTTCTAGGCTTTTTATAGTTTTAGGTTTTACATTTAAGTCTTTAATCCATCTTGATTTAATATTTGTATAAGGTGTAAGGAAGGAGTCCATTTTTGACTTTCTTTCTATACAATTTGAATACGTTTTATTTTCTTTTTCAACCTTTTTGACCTGACTAAAACTTTCAATACAACAATGAATGGAAATGGTAAAAGCAGACATCCTTTTCTTGCTTCAGTTATTTGGGGAAAAGCTTTCAGCATTGCACAATAAAGTATGGTATTTTATCTGTGGGTTATTCAGTGTCTTTATCCAGGTGAACAATTTATTTTTTATTCTTGACTTGTGGAGTTTTTAACATGAAATAATACAGATCCTGTTAAATTCCTTTTTTGCGTCTATTGAGATAATAGTTATTTTCTTTAAATCTGTTAATACAGTGTACTACATTGACTTTTATACAGAAAATAACTTTTGCATTCCTGGAATAAATCACATATGATCATAATATGTAATTATTTTAAAAGGTTTCTACATTTGGTTTACTAGTATTTTCTTGAGAATTTTGGCATCTATATTCATAGAATATATTGCTCCGTTTTTTCCCTTGTGTTGTATTTATCTTTCTTTGATACAGAATAATACTGGCCTCACAGAAAGAATTAGGAAGGGTTTTCACCTCCTTTGTTGTCTGGAAAATTTTGAGAAGGAATGGTGTTAATTGATCTTTGAACATTTGATAAAAATCGCCAGTTAAAACAACTGCTCCTGATATTTTTTGAAAGTGTTTTGATTTCTAATGAAATCTTCTTACTTGCTATAGTTCTATTAAGATTTTCTATTTTTTCTTGAGTTTTATTAGCTGGTGAATTTCCAGCAATTTGTGTATTTAATTTAGATTATCTGATGTTTTGGCATACAATTTTTACAGTATTCTCTGTGATTTTTTTTATTATTTCTGTAATGTTAGTAGTAAGCTCTATACTTTCATTCTTGAGCATATTAATTTGAGTATTCAATCTTATTTGTTGACCAATTTGGGTGAAGATGTCAATTTTGTTGATCTTTTAAAATAAGCAATCTTGGCATTTTAGAAGTTCTTTTGTTTTACTACTCTTTATTACACGTAATTATTTTCTGATCTTTATTATTTCCCTCCTTCTGCTAATTTTGGACTTAGTTTTCTCATCTTTTATATTAGGTTATTAATCTGAGACTGTTCTAGGTTTTTAGTGCAAGTATTGACACTGGACCCTGTACTCTATGTATCCCATAAGTTTTGTCATGTTTTGTTTCCATATTCCTTAATATAACAATATTTTCTAATTTCCCTTGTGATTTCTTCTTTGATCCATTGGTTATTAAAGAATGTGTTTTAAATTTTCACATAATTTTGAATATTCTAACTTACTTTCTGTTATTGATTTCTACTATATTTTTATGACAGCTAGTAAATATAGTTTGTATGATTTCAGTATTTTAAAGTTTATCGAGATTTTTGTGGCCTAACAACTGGTCTCTCCTGGAGAATATTTCATGTGCAGTTGAGAAGAATATACGTTGGTCTGTTACTGAATGGAGTGTTCCCTACGGAACACTGCAGAGAATACTGTCAGTTAGGACCAGTTGGTTTATAGTGTTAAGTCTTTTATTTCATTTCTTATTTTCTATCCAGTTGCCCTATCCATTATTGAAAGTGAGGTATTTAAGTCTTATGCCATCATTTTTAAGCTGCCTATTTTTTCTTGCAATTCGGTCAATATTTGCTTTATTTATTTTGGAGCTTTGTTGTTAACAGCTTATATGTTTATTATATTTCCCAGATATATTGATTCTATTATGTTAATATAATATTCTTCTTTATTTCTTGTTCCACTTTTTTATCATAACATATATTAATTTTGATATTAATATGGCTGCTACATCTCATTTTTGGTTGCAGTTTGCATGGAATGGCTTTTTGTCATTCTATTTTTAACCTATTATGTTTTTAAATTTAAAATCAATATCTTATAAGCATATAATTGAGAAATATTTTCTCATTTAGCTCATGTCTGCCTTTTTATTGGAAAATTTAGTCAATTTACATTTAACACAAATAGATAAGGAAATACTCTGTCAAATGGCAATTTGTTTGTTATATGTCTCATGTCCTTTGGTTTCTCAGTTCCTCCATTGCTGCTTTCTTTTGTGTTAAATAATTTTCTAGTACATCATTTAATTTACTTCTTTGTTTCTTTCACTGTATTTCAGTTATTTTATTGGTGGTTATCCTAGGGATTACAATTAGCATCTTATTTTATAGCAATTAGTTAATTTCTCTTAAATATATAGTTTGGGTTGTATTTTCTTGTTTCTTTGCATGCTTTATAATTTACTTGTTGAAAACTAAACATTATGTACTCAAACTCTGGAAGTAATTTTTTTCTTTTCTCAGGGTTTGTTGTTGCTGATTGTAATTGCATGTTTAGTGACTTTTCTGACAAGATTTGAAAATTCTTTATGTTTCGTCATGTGTGAACTATGAAATACCTGATTCATTAGCTTAAGGTTCAGCTAGTGATTGAACAGATTTTTTTATTTTAATTCTTAGAACCAAAATTAACCACCCCCCACGTAGCCCTTTTTTGCAAATCGTGTGTGTGTGTGTGTGTGTGTGTGTGTGTGTGTGTTGGGGCATTCCTTTAGCTTTATTCAAGTGGTTTATAACTCTACCTTACCCTTCACTGCCTGCCTACACAGAGCTTACATTACAGCTAAAAGTAGAACTTTGTTTTCATTACATTCTCCCTGGGTATCCACCTTAGCACAAGGAGAGATCAGGGTTAGGCAATATAAAAGTAATTGATTCTTTCCTCCATGCAACCACCAGGCAAGCCCAAACAACTACCCTTTTTAAAAAACGTATGGTGAATGAAATCTGTTCTGCTGTCTATAATCAATACCTGTACTGGAAATGGCGGCTGTTTTCTTCAAGACCATTCACTGACTTGCAATATGGAAGATAGACCAAAGTAGATTGAAATGCCAAAAGCTCACTCTTCTTACTTAGAGATAACTGGTTTCTCCTTGAATAAGCATTGACCTAATTGCTGCAGTTTTTGTGTTAATGTCCAGTATTCTGAAATAGTTGATTCTGAGAATTTTGACAGATATTGTTGTTGCTTCTATGGAAGGACAGATTTATTTTTTAGCCTTTCTTACTTTACCATTCTCACCATGTCACTCTTTCTCTTTACTTTTCAAAGTTGCTAATGTAAACAGAGAACATATTAGATTTGATACTCCCTAAATATTGCTGGTTTCTTATTATTTCTTAAGTTTTTCTAACATACTGATATGGTTTGGATCTGTGTCCCTGCCCAAGCTGTATATCAGATTGTTGTTCCTAATATTGAAGGTGGGGCTTGGGGGGAGATAATTAAATCATGGGGGTGGGTTTCTCATGAATGGTTTAGCACCATCTTCTTGGTGCTCTTCTCATAATCCTGAGTTCTTGTGAGATTTGGTTCTTTAAAAGTGTGTAGCACCACCCTCTCACTCTCTCTTGCTCAGGCTCCTGCCATGTGAGACGCCTGCTCCTGCTTTGCCTTCAGCCATGACTGGAATCTTCCTGAAGTCTTCCCAAATATACTTCATGGTACATCCTGCAGAACCATGAGCTAGTTAAACCTTTTTACTTTATAAATTAATGAGTATCAGCTGTTACTTTACAGCAATGCAAGAACAAACTAATACACATACTTATTATTCAAATTCATTGTGGCTCACTATATATAATAAAGAGTAACTCAGAATCTTCAATTTATTAATTTTAATGCTTGTATGCAGAATATTTTATTTCAAGAGATGCACTACTATAAAACTTCTAAATGTTAAATCTAAATGGTAGAGTTTGATGTTTGACTCAGATAGTTTTAATGCCATTTTGCATGGTCTTTGTGGTACAAATGTGTTACATATTATATAGAGTGAGTTTAACTTAGTCTTTGAATGATTCAAAAATTGACCAACAATATTTCAAGGATAGTATTATCCATTCTTCAAGTGTAGACCCTAAGAAAGGGGGTGGGACTAAGTAACTGTTTCAAAAGTAATACCAGAAAAAACTGTGAAGGAAAGGAGGATAGAGACAACAAGAAAGGGAGGAAAAGCAAGAAAGTACATGTATGAGTGATTTAGTGATGTGGGCAACTGGGGTTCAACCCCACTGGGAACGTGGAAACTTTGTTAAGCATGTCTCAGAATCATACTGAAGGGTGAAAGGGTATTTATCCACCAATCCTTATTGCATAATTTTGAAATTTTTCTCTGGTGCTTTAATTCTCTGGTACTTCTGAGCTGCTTGGAGTCCAGGCAGAGCATTCCAAACGCTCTGAGAGAGAGTCACAGAAGTTGTCAGCCTATATGAGGGCAGCCTATCATTAACGTCTGAGATGGAACAAAGTGAAATGGGTGGGACTAAAATTACACCACTAATAACATTTTTAACACTTTAATATTATAAGATTAGGAACACTTAATATTAAAAATAATAAACAATATAAAATAAAAATTTTCTATTTCAACAGTTTTCCTTCAGTGGCATCTAAATCGTTATCTTCAAATTTGATGCATCAAGGAAATTACAATTATAAGAGACTTTGACAAAATAATTAAAGTTAATTTGATTCTAGTATAAAACTCACTCCGGAGGTTCTTGCTAGATAGTCAATGCTAAAGTTCACCGTGTGGGAAGAATGAATACAATTAAAATGATATTGACACTTCAGTTTAATTACATAACACAAATGCTTCCATCAGATAACACAAGCTTTCTGGTGATGTGCAAAATAATTTTAACATTTTAATTTTGTAAAAATTTTCCCAGGCAAGATGGCCGAATAGGAACAGCTCTGGTCTGCAGTGCCCAGCGACACCAATGTAGAAGGCAGGTGATTTCTGCATCCAACTGAGGTACCCAGTTTATCTCACTGGGACTGGCTAGACAGTAGGTGCAGCCCATGGAGGGCCAGCAGAAGCAGGGTGGGGCATTGCCTCACCCAGAAAGTGCAAGGGGTCAGGGAACCCCCTCCCCTAGTCAAGGAAAGCCATGAGGGACTGTGCCGTGACGGACAGTGCTATCCAGCCCAGATACTATGCTTTTCCTACGATCTTCGCAACGAGCAGACGAAGAGATTCCCTCAAGTGCCTATACCACCAGGGCCCTGGGTTTCAAGCGTACAACTGGGCAGCTGTTTGGGCAGACACCGAGCTAGCGCTAGCTGCAGGAGGTTTTTTTTTGTTTTGTTTTGTTTTTTTTTTTTTTTTTTTTTCGTACTCCAGTGGAACACCAGTGAGAGAAAACCCTTCACTCACCTGGAAAAGAGGCTGAAGCCAGGGATCCAAGTGGTCTTGCTCAGCAGATCCTACCGCCATGGAGCCCAAAAAAGCTAAAATCCACTGGCTTGAAATTCTTGCTGCCAGCACAGCAGTGGGAAGTCGGCCTGGAACACTCAAGCTTGGTGGGGGTAGGGGCATCCGCCGTTACTGAGGCTTGAGTAGGTGGTTTTCCCCTCACAGTGTAAACAACACCACTGGGAAGTTAGGACTAGGCAGAGTGCACTGCAGCACCACAAAGCCACTGTAGTCAGACTGCCTCTCTAGATTCCTCCTCTCTTGGCAGGGCATCACTGAAAGAAAGACAGCAGCCACAGTCAGGGGCTAATAGATAAAACTCCCATCTCCCTGGGACAGAGCACCCGGGGGAAGGGGTGTCTGTGGGAGCCGCTTCAGCAGACTTAAATGTTCCTGTCTGCAAGCTTTGAAGAGAGCAGCAGATCTCCCAGCACAGCGCTGGAGCTCTGCTAAGGGACAGACTGCCTCCTCAAGTGGGTCCCTGACCCCCGTGCCTCCTGATGGGGAGACACCTCCCAGCAGGGGTCAACAGACACCTCACACAGGAGAGCTACGGCTGGCATTAGGTGGGTGACCCTCTGAGACAAAGCTTCCAGAGGAAGGAGCAAGCAGCAATATTTGCTGTTCTGAAGCCTTTGCTGGTGATACCCAGGGAAACAGGATCTGGAGTGGACCCACAGCAAACTCCAGCAGACCTGCAGAAGAGGGGCCTGACTGTTAGAAGGAAAACTAGCAAACAGAAAGCGATAGCATCAACAGAGAGGACAACCATGCAAAAACTCCATCCAAAGGTCACCAACAGCAAAGACCAAAGGTAGACAAATCCATGAAGATGAGAAAAAAACAGTGCCAAAAGGCTGAAAATTCCAAAAACAAGAATGCCTCTTCTCCAAAGATTCACAACTCCTCACCAGCAAGGGAACAAAACTGGACAGAGAATGAGTTTGACGAATTGACAGAAGTGGGCTTCCGAAAGTGAGTAATAAAATCCTCCAAGCTAAAGTAGCATGTTCTAACCCAAGGCAAGGAAGCTAAGAACCTTGATAAAAGGTTAAATGAATTGCTAACTAGAATAACCAGTTTAGAGAAGAATATAAAAGACCGACAGAGCTGAAAAACACAGCACGAGAACTTTGTGAAGCATGCACAAGTATCAATATCTAAATCAGTCAAGCGGAGGAAAGGATATTAGAGATTGAAGATCAACTTAATGAAATAAAATGTGAAGACAAGATTAGAGAAAAAACAATGAAAAGGAATAAACAAAGCCTCCAAGAAATATGGGACTATTTGAAAAGACCAAATCTACATTTGATTGGTGTACGTGAAAGTGAAGGGGAGAATGGAACCAAGTTGGAAAACACACTTCAGGATATTATCTAGGAGAACTTCCCCAACCTAACAAGACAGGCCAACGTTCAAATTCAGGAAATACAAAGAACACCACAAAGATACACCCTGAGAAGAGCAACCCCAAGACACATAATTGTCAGATTCACCAAGGTTGAAATGAAGGAAAAAATGTTAAGAGCAGCCAGAGAGAAAGGTCGGGTTACCCACAAAGGGAAACCCATCAGACTAGGAGCAGATCTCTCTGCAGAAACCCTACAAGCCAGAAGACAGTGGGGGCCAATATTCAACATTTGTAAAGAAAGTAATTTTCAACCCAGAATTTCATATCCAGCCAAATAAGCTTCATAATTGAATGAGAAATAAAATCCTTTACAGCAAGCAAATGCTGAGGGATTTTGTCACCACCAGACCAGCTTTACAAGAACTCCTGAAGGAAGCACTAAATATGGAAAGGAAAAACTGGTACCCGCTACTGAAAAACAACCCAAAATTTAAAGACCACTGAAGCTATGCAGAAACTGCATCAACTAATGGGGAAAATAACTAGCCAGCATCATAATGACAGGATCAAATTAACACATGCAAATATTAACCATAAATGTAAACAGATTAAATGTCCCAATTAAAAGGCACAGACAGGCACATTGGAATAAGGAGTCAAGACCCATTGGCGTGCTGTATTCAGGAGACCCATCTCATGTGCAAAGACACACATAGGCTCAAAATAAAGGGATGGAGGAAGATTTATCAATCAAATGGAAAGAAAAAAAAAGCAGGGGTTGCAATCCTAGTCTCTGATAAAACAGACATTAAACCAACAAATATTAAAAAAGACAAAGAAGGGCATTACATAATGGTAAATGGATCAATGCAATGAGAAGAGTTAACTGTCCTAAATATATATACACCCAATACAGGAGCACCCAGATTCATAAAGCAAGTTCTTATAGACTTAGAAAGAGACTTAGATTCCCACACAATAATAGGGGGATATTTAACATCCCACTGTCAATATTAGACAGATCAATAAGACAGAAAATTAACAAGGATATTCAGGACTTGAACTCATCTCTAGACCAAACAGACCTAATAGAAATCTACACAACTCTCCACCCCATATCAATAGAATATACATTTTTCTCAGCACCACACAGCACTTATTCTAAAATCAACCACATAATTGCAAGTAAAACACTCCTCAGCAAATGCAAAGTAATAGAAATCATAACAAACAGTCTCTCAGACCACAGTGCAATCAAATTAGAACTCAGGATTAAGAAACACACTCAAAACCACACAACCACATGGAAATTGAACAACCTGCTCCTGAATGACTACTGAGTAAATAATGAAATTAGGGAGAAAAAACTAAGTTCTTTGAAACCAAAGAGAACAAAGACACACATACCAAAATCTCTGAAACACAGCTAAAGTAGTGTTTAGAGGGAAATTTATAGCACTAAATGCCCACAGGAGAAAGTGGAAAAGATCTAAAATCAACACCCTAATATCACAATTAAAAGAACTAGAGAAGCAAGAGCAAACAAATTCAAAAGCTAGCAGAAGACAAGAAACAGCTAAGATCAGAGCAGAACTGAAGGAGATAGAGACTCAAATAACCCTTTAAAAATTAATGAATCCAGGAGCTGGTTTTTTGAAAAGATTAACAAAATACATAGACCACTAGCTAGACTAATAAAGAAGAAAAGAGAAAAGAATCAAATAGACACAATAAAAATGATAAATAGACACAATAAAAAATGATCACCACTGATCCCACAGAGATACAAACTAACATCAGAGAATACTGTAAACACACCTATCCAAATAAACTAGAAAGTCTAGAAGAAATGGATAAATTTCTGGACACAAACACTCTCCCAAATTAAACCAAGAAAAAGACAAATTGGCCGGGCACGGTGGCTCACGCCTGTAATCCCAGCACTTTGGGAGGCCGAGGCGGGCGGATCACGAGGTCAGGAGATCGAGACCGTCCTGGCTAACACAGTGAAACCCCGTCTCTACTAAAAATACAAAAAATTAGCCGGGCGAGGTGGCGGGCACCTGTAGTCCCAGCTACTTGGGAGGCCAAGGCAGGAGAATGGCGTGAACCCCAGGAGGCGGAGCCTGCAGTGAGCTGAAATCGCACCACTGCACTCCAGCCTGGGCGACAGTGAGACTCCGTCTCAAAAAAAAAAAAAAAAAAAAAAGAAAAAGAAAAAGACAAATCCCTGAATATACCAATAACAAGTTCTGAAATTGAGGCAGTAATTAATAGCCTACCAACCAAAAAAAAAAAAAAAAAAAAAAAAACCACCAGGACCAGGTGGATTCACAACCAAATTCTACCAGGGGTACAAGGAGGAGCTGGTACCATTCCTTCTGAAACTATTCCAAACATAGAAAAAGAGGGACTCCTCCCAACTCATTTTATGAGGCCAACATCATCCTAATACAAAAACCTGGAAGAGACACAACAAAAAATGAAAATTTCAGGCCAATATCCCTGATGAACATCGATGCAAAAATCGTCAATAAAATACTGGAAAACCGAATCTAGCAGCACATCAAAAACTTATACACCATCATCGAGTTGACTTTATCTCTGGGATGAAAGGCTGGCTCAGCATATGCAAATCATAAATGTAATTCATCACATAAACAGAACCAATGACAAAACCACATAATTATCTCAATAGATGCAGAAAAGGCCTTCAATAAAATTCAACAGCCCTTCATACTAAAAACACTCAATAAACTAGATATTGATTGAACATATCTCAAAATAATAAGAGCTACTTATGACAGACCCACAGACAATATCATACTGAATGGGCAAAACCTGGAAGCATTCCCTTTGAAAACTGACACAAGACAAGGATGCCCTCTCTCAACACTCCTATTCAACATACTATTGTAAGTTCTGGCCAGGACAATCAGGCAAGAGAAAGAAATAAAGGGCATTCAAATAGGAAGAGAGAAGTCAAATTGTCTCTGTTTGCAGATGACATGATTGTATATTTAGAAAACCTCATCATCTCAGCCCAAAAACTCCTTAAGCTGATAAGCAACTTCAGCAAAGTCTCAGGATACAAAATCAATGTGCAAAAATCACAAGAATTTCTATACACCAATAACAGACAAACAGAGTGCCAAATCATGAGTAAATTCCCATTCAAAATTGCTACAAAGAGAATAAAATACCTAGGAATACAACTTACAAGGGATGTGAAGGACCTCTTCAAGGAGAACTACAAACCACTGCTCACGGAAATAAGAGAGGATACAAACAAATGGAAAAGCATTCCATGCTCATGGATAGGAAGAATCAATATCGTGAAAATGGCCATACTGCCTAAAGTAATTTTTAGATTCAATGTTATCCCCATCAAGCTACCATTTACTTTCTTCACATAATTAGAAAAAACTACTTTAAATTTCACATGGAACCAAAAAAAAGCCCATATAGTGAAGACACTCCTAAACAAGAAGAACAAAGATGGAGGCATCACACTACCTGACTTTAAACTATACTACAAGGCTACAGTAACCAAACAGCATGGTACTGGTACCAAAACAGATATATAGACCAATGGAACAGAACAGAGTCCTCAGAAATAACACCACACATCTACAACCATCTGCTCTTTGACAAATCTGACAAAAAAAACAAGCGATGCAGAAAGGATTCCCTATTTAATAGACAGTGTTGGGAAAACTGGCTAGCCATATGCAGAAAACTGAAAGTGGATCCCTTCCTTACACCTTATACAAAAATTAACTCACAATGGATTAAAGACTTAAATGTGAGACCTAAAACCATAAAAACCCTAGAAGAAAACCTAGGCATTATTATTCAGGACATAGGCATGGGCAAAGACTTCATGACTAAAATACCAAAAGCAATGGCAACAAAAGCCAAAATTGATAAATGGGATCTAATTAAACTAAAGAGCTTCTGCACAGCAAAATAAACTATCATCACAGTGAACAGGCAACTTACAGAATGGGAGAAAATTTTTGCAATCTACTCATCTGACAAAGGGCTAATATCCAGAATCTACAAGGAATTTAAACAAATTTACAACAAAAAACAACCCCATCAACAAGTGGGCGAAGGATATGAACACACACTTCTCAAAAGAAGACATTTATTCAGCCAAGAAACATATGAAAAAAAGCTCATCATCACTGGTCATTAGAGAAATGCAAATCAAAACTGTAATAAGATATCATCTCACGCCAGTTAGAATGGTGATCATAAAAAGTCAGGAAACCACAGATGCTGGAGAGTATGTGAAGAAATAGGAATGTTTTTACACTGTTGATGGGAATGTAAGTTAGTTCAACCATTGTGGAAGATAGTGTGGAAATTCCTCAAGGATCTAGAACCAGAAATGCCATTTGACCCAGCAATCCCATTACTGGGTATATACCTAAAGGATTCTAAATCATTCTAATATAAAGACACATGCACATGTATGTTTATTGCAGCACTATTCACAATAGCAAAGACTTGGAACCAACCCAAATGCCCACCAGTGATAAACTGGATAAAGAAAATTTGGCACACATACACCATTGAATACTATGGAGCCATAAAATGGGATGAGTTCATGTCCTTTGCAGGGACATGGATGAACCTGGAAACCATCATTCTCAGCAAACTAACACAGGAAGAGAAAACCAAACACCAGATATTCTCACTCATAAGTGGGAGTTGAACAATGAGAACACATGGGCACAATGAGGGGAACATCACACACCAGGGTCTGTCGGTGGGTTGGGGGGCAAGGTAAAGGTTAGCATTAAGATAAATACCTAATGATGGGTTGATGGGTGCAGCAAACCACCATTGAATGTGTATACCTATGTAACAAATCTGCATGTTCTGCACATGTATCCCAGAACTTAAAGTTAATTTTTTAAAAAAGAATTTTATAAAGATCACTTCAAATTGCTTTACCAAAATAAGTTAAAGAGCCTTAATTACAAAATTTAAAGAATGATAATATTTTATTTTATAGTGAATACAAAATTTTTGTTCAATGACAAGACCACTGAAGCCTACCCTTTTAAAAAGTACTTCTTTTAATGGAAGAGATGTTACATAAATTAGATGCCAAAATATATGACTCGAAGGGATAATTTACCTCATATCGTTTAATATCCCATGTTTTTTTAAGAAAGGGTATATGTTATTCCTCTTATTCTTCTGTTTGTTTGATTCCCATATGATGATTTTTAAAGCAGGAGAATCACTTAAACCCGGAGGGGTAGGCTTCAGTGAGCCGAGGTCGCTGCACTGCACTCTAGCCTGGGCGAAAGAGTGAGACTCCTCCTCGAAAACAAAACAAAACAAAAAAGTTTATATTTTAGTAAAACATAATCGCATTGAATCATACTGTCTTCTCATGAGAGCACCTTAATATTTTAATTCAACACAGGAATTGCAACAGAAATGACAAGACCAAAGAATTTTATGTTCTTCTGTTGATTATTTGCTTTTGCTTGTCTTTTTCTCATATTTCCTGATATTCTCCAGAATGGAGAGTTCAGAAATACATTAATATAGTAGTTATTGCTTTAATTTCTCATAACTATCACCTTTTATGAAAAATTAGCTATTAAAAAATTGTGAAGAATACATAATTGGCTATTTGTTGCAAATAATCTGTCTCTATGTATTTCTGAATCAACTATATAGTACTTGCTTAATCTAAGTATAAAATTGTTCTTTTAAAAAATCATATATAATAGATTTTAGTTATAAAACTTGTATTACATGTATAGTTTAACATCATGACTTTTTAATATTGTATTTTATTGTGAGTATTGTAATGAGTTAAATTAAATATTTTTGAATGTGTAATTTTCCAATGGCAGAATGTTATTATAAAGACATACCACAATTTTCACAATAATTTCCCTGTTTTTTACTTTTTAAAAAATTTTTATACACTTCGGAGGTACAGTGCAGTTTTGTTACATGGATACATTACTTAATGATGAAGTCTGGACTTTTACTGTATGCCCACGACCGGACAGATTCAGAGCTGAGTTCTATAACACGCACAAAGAAGTAACGGTACGAATCCTACTGAAACTTCAAAAAATCAAAGAAGAGAGGACTATTTCCTATTTCATTTTCTGAAGCCAGTATCACCCTGATACCAAAGCCAGGCAAAGATAAAACAATAACAGAAAACTACAGATCAGTGTCCCTGATGAACATGGAAAACAAACATCTTCAACAAAATACAAGCAGACTGAGTCCAACAGAACATGAAAACGATAATGTGAGTTTTATTCCAGGGATACAAGTATGGTAAACATATGCAAATCAATAAATGTGACTCATCACATAAACAGAATTAAAAGCATAAACCATATGATTATCTCAATAGATGCAGAAAAATCATTTGATGGAATTCAACATCTTGTAATGATAAAAATTCTCAACAATCTAGGAATTGGAGCAACACACCTCCAAATAATAAAAGCTATACAACAAATCCACAGTCAACATCATACTGAATGGGGAAAAGCTGAAAACTTTCCCCCTAAGAATTAGAGCAAGAAAAGGATGACCACTTTCACCACTCTCATTCAGTGTAGTACTGAAAGTCCTAGGCCAGACAAATAAATTATTCTCTTTGACTAAGATTTATTTTTATTTTATTTCATATTTTTACATTTTGTCAAAAATTTGTGAGAAATATAACAATGGTTTTAAATGTAATTTGAAGGCAAATATTGTATTCATAAGGGCTAAAATATAAATTTATGGATGCGTTTTGATCTCTTTAACTGTGAATATATATATACTAATTAGACTATTATTTTATCTTGTATATTACTTATTAATAACCTGATATCATACTTTAGTATATTTTCAGGTTAATATTTTCCTTTTCCCAAAATTAATCTCAATGTAATAAACAGGAAATATACTCTTTTATTCATCCTTTATTACCTATAATACATATGTTCACACATGAGTAAGAGAGACAGCTTGCTTTTTGTCCTACCACTTGCCTTAATCCAACCTTCCTTGCTAGGTACATAGTGACTGCTAAGAAACTAGTCAGCTACATCATATTAGTTAAGTGGAAGTAGAGTTAAAATATAATAGAATTCCTAACTAAGAGATATTTTACATATTGAGAATATAAAAAGAATGAAATCTAAACTATAAGGAAATATAAAAATTGATACATAGATTAATGCATGTTATTCTCATCTAATTGCTATAATATGAGAGGCCTGATAATTGTTTTTTCATTTTGTATTACATTATTTTGTAAATATTTAGACTTGGTGATACTTATTTTTCTCACAGAGTATTCATAACCCTTAAAGGTGCAGTGAAGATAAAGTAATGTATTTTGAATTAATATAAAATTAATTTATACATAGATATGAATATATTAACAAATGTCAGTCAATTTATATAAATTAGGCGGCATGTTTTTTTTGCTCTTCACTTCTTAGGATGGTAAATATATAAGTGAAATAACTGCATATATTATTTCATTTATACAAGATGACTTCCTAATATCTTCACTATTAAAAGAATACTAACTAGATTGTCAGTGTTATATCTTTTACATTTTATTCCTATTTAAATAAAATGGTTTTTAACATAAAAATATGGAAAACATGCTCTTGTATTAACTATAATATTTTAAATATATTAAAATTACCAATATGTTTAAAACAGCCAAAATTATAAAATATATGATTTTGAGGAGTGGATTATTAAATTTGTTCAAAGATATTAGAAAACCTCCAAGTAGGAGAAATCAAGTCTGTATTTATGATGCAGCTATACCATTCATTCCATACTATGTCAAAAATATATGTTTTTAAATCAGTGATTTATATTTGTTCTGCTTTATTCAGTCTCCTTACCCTAGCTCTGTCATAAACTCTCCATCCATTTTGAAATAAAGTACTACATCATAACATCTTCTGATATGTTTTTGGTATAAATTTACATCGCTTAAGTGCTTAGATATTTATTTCCTCCAGACCACTAGAGTTATTAATTAATAATAGCACAATGGAAGGAGGCCTTTGTGTTATACATCCACAGTTTTGAGGTTGAATTCAAAACCTCTGATTGTCTGTATTTCAGATCCAGACCAAACCTAAGCTAGTAATAGTCAGATGATATATTCAAATCAAATAATACACATTTAAGTTATTTTGATGCTGTATATATAGATGCAGAGGATTCTTGCTATGTTGACCAAACACCCTTGTTTGCTTGGGATGGTTCCCTGATAATATCTGGTGTTCTGGTGTAATGATTAATAGTATTTGTTCTCCTTCCACTCAAATACACCCCTACTAAAATAATAAATTATATGTTTATGTAAATTTGGGCATATTTTACTCAAAACTCTTTCTTTGCATTTTCATTTTCTGTGTATTCTCCTTTAAAGAGTACTCCTTTGTACATAAATTGACTACATTTTTGACATTTGTATTTGTGACATGCACACATTAGAATAGATTCCAGAAAAATCATTTATTTATAATGTCTTACAAACCTTAAAGATAACTTATACAAAATAAATTACTCTTAATGCCGATAGTTTCTATACTTTTATAAGGAAAAATAAGCACTATATAAAATCAAATTTCTTAAAATATTAATCATAGGAAAATAAGTATCAATATTGAATAATAAAGTCGTATTTACAATTCAATCCAGCTTCTCCCGATGAAAGTATACTCTTCATTTAGAAAGCTTAAAAAGAGATCCACGGGAATTTTTCAATTTTAGTTGTTTCATCTAGACACGTTACTGGCAGGCAAACACATTTAAACACATTCAACACAGTCAAACATATGATAGGATGTGTATGCTTTTAATATATGGACATGGCAAGTATTCTTGAAGGGTTCTCAGCAGAGACTTTCTCAAAGAGAAGAGGTGCCAGATGTAACAAATAAAAGTAAAATATTAATACTTTTTACTATAATTATGTTCCAATTATTGCACATGGCATACTCACGCTAAAATATTACTTTTTGTTTATATGAAATCTTAATTTCACTTGACATCCTAAATTTTTTGTCTTCCTGCTGAGGAAGTAAGCAGTTGAGCGTGGAAGAACAGTTGAATTAAATGGGCCAGAGATGAGGAGGCTGCATATTTCATAGTGACAGTAAAATGTAAAAATTTTACCATATAACTTATTTAGAGTAGAAAGCAAATGTAGAATTGGAGGAGAGAGAATTATAATAGGAGAGACCCAAATCAGGTATAGATTCTGTATGTCATGGAAAAAAATCTGAACATTTTGTTGAATACATACAGTTAAAAAATCAAAGGAGAGACGTGCTGGAATTTAGCTCATTCTGGCCACAGTGAGGGCAGAGGAATTAAAAGGGTATTGCTCAAAATAGAGTGGCCACTTAGAAGTTTGGAACACAGAAAACAAAAAATAAATCATCATGTGCAAAAATGATGAGAGATGATTTTAAAGATGTATAGAAATAAGGGATCATGCTTTTATTCATTATAGAAATATAAATTAGCTGGCTTCATTTACCAAATAGATATAGAGCAATAAGTGTGAGGAGAAAACAATAAAAAATCTCTTCCAGTTTTCTTGTTCGGACAACAGAGGAGGTAATGGTGCCATTAACTGAGCTTTGGAAAGTAGGCAGAGGGTAGTGCCGCGAGGACACTAAAGAACTCTGAAGTATGGAGTTGTGTATATTGTGCTGGAATTTGGTAACAGGAAAAGCTTGATGAAAGTAAACATTTTAGAGCTATTGGCAAAGAAATGGTGGCTGAATTCACAGGAGAAGATGTAATGATTTTATAAGCATGTGTAGTGTGGAAAGATATCAAATATATCACAATGATTTTACAAACCTAATTTACCCTTAATAGTTTAAAGCATAAAAAATTAAGCCATTGCATGTTTAAAGGAATCATCTATAAACAAAATTTGTATATTCTTATTTTAAACAATTTTACAAGGTAGATGTTATAATCCACATTTTCCAGACGAGAAATTCAAATTAGTTGAGAATAAACAATTTGACCAAGGTTGTGCACTAGTAAAAAAAGTAGAGGGACAGAGATTTTAACTTAAGTCAATATGACTCTAAAGCTTATAGTGTTTTGATTATAAAATTAATGAATTTAATCTCTATTAAAATAATACTATTTAAAAATAATGTAATATTTGGAAAAATAATGAATAAATAAAATAAATTTTTACCTAATGCTTGAGTCCAAAAGATTTAAATACAGATTATAATTTTTAAAGTAATTGCTTACATGTTATATATACAAAAGTTAATAATAAAATATGCCAACATTTACTAAAACCAGTAAAATACCATGCACCACAATTTTTAATGTTATCAAATTTGGGGTCAAAATAATATAACAAAATAAAATACAAGAATGACACTAATCAAAATTAAAATAAAAAAGAAATAAATATAAAGAAAATAAATCTGATGAGGTAAGCAACAAGAAATAATACAATAGCAGAATGTCAAATATGTCAAGGTTATTTCAACCATACCCACCAACCTAGGCAGGATAATATGACTTATAATTGAGGTGACAATGGGTCCTAACTTGCATGGTGCCCTCCTGGCCTTGTGCCTGTTTTTCTAGTATAATTATTAAGAGTTTAGGAGTGTCCCATTTCCAGAGAATCTTATGTTGGCTGATAAATCATATCGTGTCCTTACCTATGAGACATCCTAGTAATATGCCAGAGCTAGAAAGAGGAGAGATAATTAGACTTTGTCACACAGAAATGTTTGAGTCCAATTCTCTCTCTTCCCCCACCCCAATATTTTCCAATCAATACTTATCTACAGATCCCATAAATGTAGGGATATATCTATAGACAGATCCTGTAACAACCCTGTCTATTTAGGTACTTCTCTATCTATACTTATTATTTGTTATTCTCTCTTTTATCTTGTAGTTTCCAATTCTAGCATCAGTAACTATGTGCTGCTCAAACTCTATACTAACTGCTGGGGTTGCAACACATTCTTTCTTTTAATTCTCACAATAAACATGGATGTTGGTAGTGTTTTTGATGAAAAGATCAGGGAATGGACACTCTGGATATTTAATTGACCTACTGATTGTAGAGCTCTTAAGTGGGAAAGTAGGAGTTTAAACAGGTCCCCAGTCTGAGTAGCACCCATTTCATCACAATATCTCAAGCAATTTCGCTGCCATCTTATGCCTAATGAGAATAAAGTAAGAAAATGGGATTCTTTGTAGACTCTTTAACAAACAAGGTGTAGTTGAGAATTAGTGTGCCCAGCCTTTTAAGAGAGAGTGATGATACAGTGACTTTGCTGAAATTTCATATATAGAAGCCAGAAATAGAACCTTTGCTTAGCAGCTTCTCCATACACTGTAGGACTGAACAGACAATCTGGAGTAATGATCAACCAGGTAGTATTGGCCCTTGGAGACAATAAGCATGTATGAGGAGCGTTTTTGTTTATCCTAGTGATTATGGGATATTTGAATTTTACAAGTTGGCAAAGAATGCAGTCTTCAACAATTCCAACACAAAGAACTGTCCCTTGTCTCATATATGTTTTAATACATCACCAGATATTCATAAAGATACAAAATATATTCATAATGAGCTAAACTTAAAAGTTAATTTTATTTACATATGAACTCTTTTTTAATAATTTTAATATACAGTAAGTCTCCAGAATATGCAAATACTAGCAATGTGGAAAGAAGATTTTAATTTGTTTTGTTCAGGAATTTACTTAGCGTGCCTTCAATTTGGGTTACCATTTCATTGATAGTATATCCTCCAGTGGTATTTAATTACTACTAAATATTCAATCAGATACTTATATATGTTGATTTATAGGTCATGCACCTGACTGCTTAACCATATCTTCTAATGCTGTCATGCCTGAATATTTACATATTGAAACATATGTTATTTTATTATAAATGACTTTTCTCTTATTTTTCCTTTCTATTATAGTTATGGTGTTATATTGATCTTTTGAAATTACATTTACAGATAGGCTATATTATCTATGACTTTCATTTTAGGGTAATAAAAAAGGCATTAAAATATTATTTTTAATGAAAAGATGTGTTGGGTCTGTGAAAAATACTTCCTCGTAGGAATAGAGGCATATTTCTAGAATGAACAGGGAGGGTTTTGACTCATAGGCTTTATAAATTGTGAGTAATTTATACTATGACCAATCTTAAAATGAAAATTAACTTATTACATCATACTCCACTAATGGAGTAGGTTAGCTTTTCAAAGGGCTTTGAACACTCCACTTATTCCTGCTCACAATCTCAATATTCAAGAAGACGAGTGGATTTTTTGAGAAACTGAGATACTTCAGACATTGTCTACATCATATCTATGTGTTGCGTCATGCAGGTCCCTCCCTCACAACTAAAGAATTTATCCAAACCGTCAAAAAGTTTCTCATCTAACTGTCCTCAGATATCCGTCCTCTTTAGGATTTGCCTCAGCTCAAAATTACTTTGTGCAATGACATATCTTGTGCACTGACAACCTGTGTTCATTGACTTCTAGATACAGGGTATAGAATCCAGACCCCTTGGCTCAAAGTTAGAAACTCTTTGAAGAGCAAACTCAGTTCATCTCTCTCTGTGGTGTCACCTGAAGTCTTATTGTATCTGTGCTACAAGTCCAATTCTCTGCTCAATCTTGTTACGCTCTCCTCTCCCCAGGAATATCGATCCCAGGAGTGCTAAACTCCTTTTTAGCTTCAGCTTTCTGAGGAAGCCAACCTGTAATACAGACTCTGAATAAATAGGGATGACGGAGACCAGGATTACGGGTATATGTCTAGATAAATAGATCGATGGATGGATAGATGGATAGATAGCTCATCATTGTTAAACTGATCTCATTAATTATACTATTTAATCACTTCATGCTAGAGATGAGGAAACAGTTCTCTAATCTTACGTTATTCATCCACAGCCACATGGCCAGTGATTGGCAGAAGCCCAATGATCCAAGCTTTCAAACACCCAAACCAAGTCTTTCTTCCACAAAATACATCTATTGGATTTATGCTGACAAAATCACTTTATTATTTTGGTGAAGTATTTGTATTGTTTCTCAGCTTTAATTAACATAATATTTTCAGTATCCACTGTATAGTGTATTTTTGGATATTTTGATAATCTATTTCATAGAACATTGAGTCATTGCTTAAGTGTACTCTATTAATCATTGAAGTATCTATTATTTATTTAGAGAAAAAATTATCTCTTAAATATGACCATATTAAAAATAGGTATGCCTAGGTTTTGTCTTCCTTTTCATAAGGATAATCTACATTGTCATAAGCACACATTATAATTTGTGCTATATAACATACATTAATATTATAAAATATTATTCATAAACATTTATAACCCCACTATTCCAATTATATGTGGCTACAATTTCTTATTTTTAGTTTAGAGTAAACAGAAAGTTTTTTTTCCTTGTCCCAAGGCATTTTAAAAGATGTACTCTTTCTGTTCTCATCTCTGTTCTTTTTTTCATTTCCATCTGACTAGTTTCTTGTGTTATCAAACAGAACCACAACAGAGCTATCCTTCGTCTTTTCATTACCTAACGTAAGTGGAAAGGCAAAAACCACCTGCACCTGAAACAACAAACAAAAATTAAAAAAAGAATAGAAGTCTTGTAGATGAAGTTTTATTCTCATGCCCTATGATATAAAGAATCACTCAAAGTATATGATTATGAAATTATCTACTCTTTGCAATATAGTACTTGTGATTGCTCTTTATTTACTGTATTTTCCTGTGTAGCTTACATCACATAAACACAAATTTCAGGAGAATTATGTATGCCATTGGAAATGCCTCTTTTCTTCTATGTACAACTTCCAATGATATATTGAGCTAGACAAATAAGGATTAGTTATTAAAAATGAGACAATAGGACCCTTCGGCCATAGCAGATATGGAAATAGCAAAGGTATCTAATTGATAAGCTGTTTTTGACAAGGGCATGTGTTCTGCATGGTTTTAGGATTACACATATGTACTTTAAAGACAAGCAATACACATTTTCAAGTTAGCAAAAATAAAAATATGACAAATGTCTACATAAATTTCAAAACCAAAACAAAAAATATTTTGATATATTCAATACATATTTAATATATTCAATATATTTCATATAACCTCAATGTATGTTTTCTATCATATTTTCAAATCATATCTCACATTCCTTCCTTATCAATAATCACTTTATTTTAATATCTGATGCATTTTAGACATGAGTAATTTTCATTTTGTTAATATACATTCTATTTAATGCATTTTACAAAATTCTGTTAAAGAAATTACAACATATTTTAATTTTATGAGTATTTAATTCATAATTTCTCAATATTTTCTCATTGTTTATTTTAGAATGATGTATCTAAGCATTCCAAGTTTAGAACAGTCTGGCCTCAAACCTTTGCCAAATAAATGCTAGTCTTATATAGTAAGATTATTTTCATGCCAGTGATTCAACTCGAAATAGCTTAATTTAAAGAAGAAAGTTAATTTGCTAATATAACTGAAAAACACAGAGGCATATTAAGCTCAGGTATAGTTTGATGCAGCACTCAATCACCACCATCTAAATTTATCTCTTACCCCATTTCTGCTGGGTTAACATAACCTTTTGGCTGATTAATGTTTTGGTTATAAAAATAATTTCATCAATTCCAAGACTACTGCCAGTGGTAATTATCAAAATATACTTTGGTATTGGTGTTTTTCAGAAAATAATAGAATTATATCCAAGCATTCCCAGAAAAAATTAAGACATTTACTTTATTGAATTAACTTATGTCATATATCCACTCCTAAGCCAATCACCACCATGACCAAAGAGAAACTATTTTTATTGCCTTAAGTAAATTTTGGTTGACTACTGTCATGAGGAAAGACATGGATTCCATATGAACCATGTGGCTGAGAATTTGGGGAGAAGAAATTTCCTAAAGAAAATACTTTTAGCAAGAAAGGATGCCGGCCATCAAACAGTAGGTAGGCATTATTTCCTACAGTAACCCTATTCTATTACTCCCAGTGTTATTTTATCACTGTCTCTTGAGAATTACACATGTATTTTCATTTAAAAAAAACTTTATTTTAGGTTTGGGGGTGCATATGAAGGTTTTTAATATAGGTGTACTTGTGTTATGGAAGTTTGTTGTACAGATTATTTCATCACCCAGGTATTAAGCTCAGTACCCAACAATTAGCTTTTCTGCTCCTGCCCCTCCTCCCACCCTCCACCCTCAAGTAGACCCCAGTGTCTGTTGTTCCCTTCTTTGTGTTCATAAGTTCTCATCATTTAGCTCCCATTTATAAGAACGTGTGGTATTTGGATTTCTGTTCCTGCATTTGTTTGTTAAGGATAATAGCCTCCAGCTGCATCCATGTTCCTGCAAAATACATGATCTAGTTCTTTTTTACGAATCCATAGTATTTCATGGTGTATATGTTGAAAAATGTTTTTAATCCAATCTGTCATTGATGGGCTTTTAGGTTGATTCCATGTCTTTGCTATTGTGAATAGTGCTGTAATTAACATTTGTGTGCATGTGCCTTTATAGCAGAATGATTTATATTCCTCTGAGTATATACCCAGTAATGAGATTGCTGGCTTGAACAGGAGTTCTGCTTTTAGCTCTTTGAGGAATCACCATACTGCTTTCCAAAACAGTTTATCTAGTTTACACTCTTACCAACTAACTGTGTATAAGCTTTTCTCTTCTCTGAAAACTTGCCAGCATCTGTTATTTTTGGATTTTTTAGTAATAGTCGTTCTGACTGGTGTGAGATCGTATCTCACTGTGGTTTTGCTTTGTATTTCTCTAATGATCAGTGATATTGAGCTTCTCTTTCATATGCCTGATGGCCACATGTATGTTTTCTTTTGAAAAGTATCTGTTCATGTCCTATGCCCACTTTTTAATGTGGTTGCTTTTATTTTTTAAAGTTTATTTATGTTCCTTATAGTTGCTTGATATAGTTTTGCTCTGTGTCCCCATCTAAATCTCAAACCAAATTGTAATTCCCAGTATTGGAGGAGGAGGGACCTGGTTGGAGGTGTTTGAATCATGGGGGTGGACTTCCCCCTTGCTGTTCTTGTGACAGAGCTCTCCTAAGATCTGCTTGTTTAAAAGTGTGTAGCACCTTCCCCCATCTTCTCCTGCCAGACATTTTAAGGTGTGCCTGCTTCCCCTTCACTTTCTGCTCTGAGTATATGTTTCCTGAGGCCTACTCAGAAGCAGAAGTCTGTACAGCTCACAGTACCGTGAGCCAATTAAACCTCTTTTCTTTACAAATTACCCAGTTTCAGGTATGTCTTTATAGCAGTGTAAGAACAGAATAATACAGAAAATTGGTACCAGAGAAGTAGGGCCATTCCTAAAATATGCAAGCTACTTTGAAACTGGGTAACAAGCAGAGGTTGAAACAGTTTGGAGAGCTTGGAAGAAGACAGGAAGATGAGAGAAAGTTTAGAACTTCCTAGGGACTTGTTGAATGGCTGTAAACATTACTGATAGTGATATGTACAATTAAATTCAGGTTGAGGTGGTCTCAGATGGATATGAGGAACTTATTTGGAAGTGGAGTAAAAGTCACTGTTGCTATGCTTTAACAAAGAGGGTGGCAGCCTTGTGGCTCTGCCCTAGAGATCTGTGGAACTTTGAACTTGAGAGAGATGATTTAAGGTACGTGGTGGAAGAAATTTTTAAACAGCAAAGTGTTCAAGAGGAAGCTTGGGTGCTTCTGAAAGTCTATGCTCATCTGCATATGCAAAGAAATGACCTGAAATTGGAATTTGTATTTAAAAGGAAAGAAAAGTATACAAGTTTGGAAGATTTGCAGCCTGACCATGTGGTAGAAAAGAAAAAAAAAATTCAAGCAGGCAGCAGAAATTTGCATAAGTAAAGAGGAGCTTTATTTTGGTTAGTAGCCAAAATAAAGGGGAAAATGCCTCCAAGACATTTCTGAGACCTTCATGGCAGCCTCTCCTATCACAGGCCCAGAGGTCTAGAAGGGAAGAAAGATTTTAATGGCTGGGCTTAGGGCCCTGCTGCTCTGCAAAACCTTGGGACCACTGCTCCCTGTATCCTAGTCATTCCAGCTCCAGCTGTCTCAGTGGCCCCAAATATCAGGCCACGGCTCCAGAGGGTGCAACCTGCAAGCCTTGGTGAATTCAACATGGCATTAAGCCTCCATATGCACAGAGGGCAAGAGTTGAAGCTTGGAAGCTTCTGCCTAGATTTCAGAGGATGTATAGAAACACCTGGATGTCTAGACACAAGTTTGCTGCAGGGGTAGAGCTTTCATGCGGAACCTCAACTAGGGAAGTGCAGATGGGAAATGTACGGTTGGAGCTTCCACAGAGTCTCCACTGGAATACTGCCTAGTGGAGCTACGAGAAGGCCACCATCTTCCATACCTGAAAATGGTAGATCTACCAACCACTTGTACTGTGCACTTGGCACCAAATGCTAGCCCATGAAAGCAGCTGCAGAGGCTGTACCCTGCAGAGTCACAGGGGTAGAGCTGTCCAAGGCCTTGGGAGACTACCCCTTGCATCACTGTGGCCTGGATATGAGACATGAAACAAAAGGATATTATTTTGGAGTTTTAGAATTACTGACTCCCCTGCTGGGTTTTAGACTTACGCGGGATCTGTAGCACTTTGTTTTGGCCATTTTCTTCCTTTGGGAAAGGAAATATTTACCCAATGCCTATATCCACACTGTATCTTGGAAGTAATTAACTTCTTTTTGATTTTGTAGGCTTATAGATGGAAGGGACTTGCCTTGTCTCTGATGATACTTTGTACTGTAGACTTCTGAGTTAATGCTGAAATGAGTTAGGACTGTGGGGGACTTTTGAGAAGAGATAATTGTATTTTGCCATGTGAGAAAGACACGAGATTTGGTAAGGGCCAGGGACAGAACGATATAGTTTGCCTCTGTGTAGCTATCCAAATCTCATGTCAAATTGTAATTTCCAGTATTGGAGGAGGACCTGGTGGGAGGTGATTGAATCATGGCAGTGGACTTCCTCCTTACTGATCTTGCGATAAGTTCTCCTGAGATCTATTTGTTTAAAAGTTTGTAGCACCTCCTCTTTATCTCTATCTCTATCTCATTCCCTCTTGCTGACCATATAAAGATGTGCCTGCTTCCCCTTTGCCTTCTGCCACTATTGTAAGTTTCCTGCAGCCTCCCCAGAAGCGGAAGCCTGTATAGCACCAGAACTATGAGTCAATTAAACCTCTTTCATTTATATATTACCCAATTTCAGGTATGTCTTTATAGCAGTGTAAGAACAAACTGATACAGTGTTGTATATTAGATCTTTGTCAGATGCATGGTTCACAAATATATTCTCCCATTGTGTAGGTTGTCTGTTTACTCTGCTGATAGTTTATTTTGCTGTGCTGGAACTAAGTTTAATTAGATCTCATTTGCCAATTTTTGCTTTTGCTCTAATTGTTTTTGGTATCTTTGCCATGAAGTTTTTGCTCATCCCTATGTCCAGGATGGTATTGCCTAGGTTGTCTTGAAGGGTTTCTTTATGGTTTTAGGTTTTACATGTAAGTCTTTATCTTGAGTTGAATTTTGTATATAGTATAAGGAAGGGGTCCTGTTTCAGTCTTTGCAGATGTCTAGCCAGTTATCCCAGCATCATTTATTGAATAAGAAGTTTTTCCCTATTGCTTGTTTTGGTCAGCTTTATTGAAGATCAGATGGTCATAGGCGTGAAGCCTTATTTCTAGGCTGTCTATTCTATTTCGTTGGTCTGTGTGCCTGTTTTTGTACCAGTACCATGCTGTTTTGGTTACTGTAGCCCTGTAATATAGTTTGAAGTTGGGTAACATGATGCCTCCACTTTGTTTTTTTTGCTTAGCATTTCCTTGGCTGTTTGGGCTCTTTCGTGATTCCATATTAATTTTAAAATTGTTTTTTTTTTTTTAATTTTTGGAAGATTGTTATTGGTAGTTTGATATGAATAGCACTGAATCATAAACTGCTTTGGGCAATATGGACATTTTAATATTGATTCTTTTGATCCATGAGCATGGGACGTTGTTTCATTTGTGTGTGTCATCTCTGATTTATTTGAGCAGTGTTTTGTAATTCTCATCGTGGAGACCTTTCACTTCCCTCATTAGGTAAATAGAAAAACAAGATCCTTTGGTATGCTGCCTTCAAGAGACCCATCTCACACATAATGACACCCATAGGCTCAAAATAAATGAATGAAGGAAAATCTACCAAGCAATTGGAAAACAGAAAAGAACATGTGTTTCAATTCTAATTTCAGACAAAACAGACATTAAACCAAGAAAGATCAAAAAAGACAAAGAAAGGAATTAAATAATGGTAAAGAGTTCAATTCAACCAGAAGAACTAACTGTCCTAAATATATAAGCACCCAACACAGAAGCACCCAAATTTCACAAAGCAAGTTCTTAGGGACCCACAAGGAGAGAGAGTCTCCCACAAAATAAAAGTTGGAGACTTCAACACTCCACTGACAGTATTAGACAGATCAAGCCAATATCCTTGATAAACATAGATGCAAAAATTCTCAACACAATACTTGCAAACCGAATCTACAAGCCCAACAAAAAGTTAATTCACCATGATCAAGTAGCCTTCATTCCCAGGATGAAAAGTTGGTCCAACATATGCAAATCAATAACTGTGATTTATGACATAAACAGAATGAAGACAAAAAAACCACATTATCTCAATAGATGCAGAAAAGGCAATAAAATTCAACACCACTTCATGTTAAAAACTGTCAATAAACTAGGTATTGAAGGAACATACCTCAAAATAGTAAAAGCCATCTATGACAAACCCACAGCCAAATTCATACTAAATGGGCAAAATCTGGAAGCATTCCCCTTGAAAACTGGTAAAAGACAGGGATGCTCTCTCTCACCCACTTCAATTTAACATAGTGTTGGAAGTCTTAGCCAGAGCAATCAGGCAGGAGAATAAATAAAGGTCATCCAAATAGGGAAAGAGGAAGTCAAGTCCCAGCTTGAAGATGACATGATCCTACATCTAGAAAACCAATAATTTCAGCCCAAAAGCACCTTCAGCTGACAAACAACTTCAGCAAAGTTTCAGCATACGTAATCACTGTACAAAAATTACCAGCATTCCTATACATCAACAATAGCCAAGCCAAGAGCCAACAAAGGAAGACAACACATTCACAATTTATTCACTCTTGATCTCCATTCCTAATGTCTTGAAATCAGCCTTTTAACATAGGATAACTCCATGCTTTCTTGGATTTTCCAGTTCATGGTTGTCATTCTGCTTTAGGTGTAGCGGCAATTATTTGATAATTACATTGTTTTATTTGTCACATTCACTGTTACTTAACTTGCAATGTGTAAGTTGCCAACCCCTCATAACTAAAATTTTCAGACCTAAGATCAGAGAATCTGAATTCATTTTTTTGACATCTCTCAAAATATTCAGCCCTATGAAATCCTATGCCAGCTTATGCCCAGTAAAGATACTAACAAATTTGTTCTGTTAAGTTGCATTATTTCAGATGCCAAAGGAGATATTACACAGAAGGTTAAACTTGATAACATAATTGTCTTGTTTCAATCTATCAGTATCGTATTTGGCACTACACATGAAAAACATTAATAACATATTTGTATAAATAAGAATTTCCTTTTCTGGAACTTTTACGATAAAAGTTTATTAAATGTATCCTGTCCCTTAATGTTTTTTGAAATGGAATTCTAACAAAAGGAGTAATATACTTCTATTCTACATCCATAAGATAACTAATAAATTATTAATGAGTTTGGTGTGTGGAAAGAACTTACTCTAAAATATGAAATCCAATACAATAATATATCAAGAAAAAAGAGACTTAAGCTGAAGCATATCCCTACTAAATAGATAATGTAAAAAATCACAACACTATATTATTGTGATGTGTCATTACTGAAAATTATTGATAAGCTAAGGATAGGAATAATGTTAGAAGAAGAAAAAATAAAATCACAACAAAATTAAAATTAATGGGCATTTTTAGAGACTCAGTAGAAACAAGTGTTAATTGAAAACCTTGTGCAAAATAATCTTAGGAGCATTTTCAAAAATAAAAATAGCTAAACTTGTAATTAAAATTTAATAATCATTAATTATATGAAAACTATATTTAAACTATATGAAATAAAGTACAGATTCATACGTTATATTTATATTTTGAAATATATATGAAAACAGCTATAGTTTCTCTATTCATAATTAATCTTATCTTTTTCCTTTGGAGCAAAATTTCTCATACTTTTGCCATCTGTATGCCATAGAATAGACTAAATGACAGCAAAATTATTTTCTGGTTTAGAACGTTTTTGTATAACAATACCTCTAAATGGGGAATAAACTGAAGGAAATGGAAAAAAATGCTATTGACTATATATGTACTAATTTTACCACAAAGATGTATCACATAGAATCATTGTCATCGAAAGTTTTACTTAACATTTATGAGTACTGTTTTTCCTTTCTCTCAGAACAACTAGATATCTAGATTTAGTAACAGCAAACATTTAAAGAAAATCACTTCAACTTAATATTGAAAGCTATCAATGGCCCTTATCCACAAAAACAGGACAAAAAAAACTTCCATAATGACAAAAATAAATTATCAATATCAACATTTCTAAAAGTAAACTATGAAAGAGAACTAAAAAAATTAAATTAGCACAAATATGTACTGTAGCTTACAACTATGTAAATTTTTGTGTGTATTATCTTAAGTAATAGTCATTTAAATTAGTATGTGAAATTTGCGACAATTCATATGTTGAATAGTTATCAATGTGCCCAAAGTCATATAGCCTGTGTATATTGGAGAGTTGAGTCTCAGCGAAGAAGACAGCCTATTTCTTATGTTAATTTGGAAATAGTTGAATTGATGTCTTCTGAGAGATATATAACTTTCCAAAATTCAAAATTTTTGTTTTTATCATTACTTAGATGAAAATATATAATTTACAGATAAGTGGTCAGATATTTTGTAGAATTTTTCATTAAAAACTTCTAAATTGTTCCTTTTATTTTTATTTGTATTGAGACCAGGTCTCAACTCTGTTGCGCAGGCTTTAGTGCAGTGGCATGATCATGGCTCACCGAAGCCTCAACTTCTGGGACTCAAGCCTTTCTCCTGCTTCAGCCTCCTGAGTAGCTGGAACTACAAGTGTGTCAAGCCATGCCAGGCTAACTTTTTTTTAAGAGATGTGGATTTACTATGTTACCCAAACTTGTCTCAAATTCCTGGGCTCAGGCAATCCTCCCACTTCAGCCTCTCAAGGGGCTGGATTACAACATGAGCCACCATGTCTTGCCAAATGTCCCCTTTTATATATACATACCAATTCAATATAGTTTTTGAATTTGTGAATGAATTTGTACTACTCTTATTGCAAATTGTATTGTGATCTTTGAATTTGCATGTCATCATAAAGGTTTTGTAGTATTTGTAAAATGTCTTTCCACTGACACTAGCATTATTTGGCAGTATTGTTTTTGCATTCTTCAAATTAATAATAATGCTTAATTACCTGTAAACAAATTTTTCTTTATTGTCTTAGATAATTGTGAACTAGTGTTCTGCTCTAAAGCTACTTCTTTGATGCACTATCTGCATAGACATAGATACCTCATACCATCTGTAGCCAGTTTCCCCAATATATTTATTTTATGTCTATCACTAAATGCTAAGTTTTGATTATCATAATTTTTGCTGATCAAAGATAATATATGTTTTCTCAAATCTCCATTTCTGTGCATGTCCGGTAGCTGGCAGCCTGTTGCTTCTCTATAGTTTTTATAATTTTAGTGTAATTTGGTGACTGATGTCCATTTTCAAAGATACACATTACTCAGTAAAATATTTGATGAGATGTGAAGTATTTGCCAATGCCTGATAATTTAGGAAAGTGCAAACATTGTTGCACTAGGTATTCTTTCAAAGATGACTACTGTGAAGTTTGAGGTGGAATGGAGATGTGTAATCACTGTCAGTGGTGTCATTTTTTTATATAATGAAAGATATAGTGAAGATGTTATGAAGTATCATAATTAGAAAATTCTTTCTGGCTCTATTGACAAGCCATCTTTTAAAATGGGAGCAACAGTCCTCCTGGAAATTGAGATGTTTAAACTCTAATTATTTTAGGGAAATAAGGAAGCTAGTAGGAAGCCAGTAGAGAATTCAGAAAAGGGTGAAATTAGTGAAACTATAATAAAAAATACTCGAATGTGTATGCTTTCAAGATAAGCCACACAAACCATGTCATACTTTTAACGTCATATCAGCGCACATATTTAAAACTCAAAAAAGAAACTTAGTAAACAGCAAAATGTTTATCAGGAAAGCATCGTATCTGTAGAATATATGATTATATGGAATAATTTATTTAAAACTTTGTAATCGAGATAGCTATATGCAGAAGCTGAATTAGAGTTCTAGCTCTATCTCAGTAGCATATATAGTTTGCAAAATAGTTTTAGGAGACTTTATATTATTTTATGTTCACTGTTATTGTATAGCCTTGATTAGGGTATTTAACATGTATGAACCTTTGTTTCTTCACCAGCATAACAGAAGAGTAATAACATATTCTCTACACAAATTCCAGCATGAGTGACTGACACAAATGAAGATAAAACAAATGAAAATATTTTATAAATTATGTAATCATACAAAATGCTTATTACACTAGTTACGTAAGTATGAGTGTACTTAGAACTATATTTGCCGAGGTAAAGTAAAACAATAGTATTTAATTGAAATTAAAGAATTTACTACCATAAAGGTCCATAGATAGAATCCTTGCAGTCTACTTTCTTTCAATATATAAATCCAAGCAATAGTCACTGAATCTTTGCTTCAACAGCAGTAATGGAGATTTTCACTTAGTTTACCCGAGGCCTTTAAAACATCAGCCTTCCCGTGGGGTACAAGAGTCTCAGAAGCCCTCCTAAGTAGCTGCTCACCCATTTGTGGCCAGAGGTGGGTTTTGGTATCTTTCTCTGGTCCTGCTATTTTTGGCTCCAACCACATTCCTAGCTGCTGGCCCCAACCACATTCTTGGAAGAACAGCCTTTGACATTTGATATCTGTATTTGAATAGGCTGTGTATCTCTTACCTAAAACACGGGATAGAGGCAAAGCAAGAAGGCCGAATAGAACCCTGCAGTGATTGTACCCCTTGCAGGAACACCAAATTGAACAACTATCCAAACACAAAAACGCACCTTCATAAGAACCAAAAATCAGCTCAGCCACAGTGAAATGAAGCACCAAGCAGAGTCCTGAAGCTCCCAGTCCAGTCCCTAACTACTGGGTGACATTTCTAGGCATACCCTTGGCCTAAAGGGAATACATTGTCTTGAAAAGAAGTAACTAGTTTGGGCAGTACTCATTATCTTCTCACTAAAGAGCCCTTGAACCTTGAATAAACATCAGCAGTAGCCAGGTCGTACTCACCATGGACCTTGGGTGAGGTCTAGTACTGTGCTGGCTCCAGCACATTTGAAGTTGCAGTGGCTATGGGGGAGACTCCTGCTTGAGGAAAGGAGAGAAACAAGTAAAAAGGACTTAGTCTTGCAACTTAGGTATTAGCTCAGCTGTGGTAAAATAAAGCACCACATAGCTTACTAAAGTTCCACATCCTAGCGCCTGGACAGCATTTCTAGACCCACCCTGGGCCATAAAGTAACTTGCCAGCCTAAAGAAAATGACACGAGCCTGGCTGAATTCACCACCTGATGACTAAAGAGCCTGTAGGCCTCTAACAAACATCAGCTAGTAGCCAGGCAATACTCACCACAGGCTTTGGGTTTGACCCAGTAGTATACTGGATTCAGATCTAACCCAGCACAGTCCTGGTGATGGTGGCCACAGGAGTGCTTGTGTCATCTCTACCCCTAGTCCAGGCAGCTCAGCACTGAGAACAAGAGACTCCATTTGTTTGGGGGAAAGAAGGGAAGAGAAGACTCTCTGCCTGAAAATTCAGAGAAATCTTGCATATCATATCCAAGACCACTAAGGGAGTATATCTATAAGTCTATAAGATTCATAGCATTACTCGGCTTCGAGTGTCCCTCAATCCAGATGGGGCTGCAGGGACCAAAGACTTAGCTCACACTCAATACCGTTTGAATACTTTGAAAGACGTCCCAAGAAGAATTGAATCACTCAAGCCTGGACTGCAAAGACTAGAATAAATGCCTGCCTCTTTGAGGTCCATATATTGACAAACATCCACAAGCATGAAGACCATCTAGGAAAATATTGCCTCACCAAATGAACTAAATAAGGCCCCAATAACCAACCCCAGAGTGACAGAGCTATGTGACCTTTCAGATAGAGAAATCAGAATAGCTGTCTTGAGGAAGCTCAACAAAAGTCAATATAAAGCAGAGAAGAATTTCAGAATTCTATCACATAAATTTAACAAAGAGATTGACATGATTTTTAAAGTCAAGCTGAAATTCTGGAGCTGAAAAATTTGATTGATGTACTGAAGAAAGCATTAGAGTCTTTCCACATCTGAAATGATGAAGCAAAAAAAGAAAATTGGCTGGGCACGATGGCTCATGCCTGTAATCTCAGCACTTTGGGAGGCCGAAGCCAGACAAATCACTTGAGGTCAGGAGTTCAAGACCAGCTCAGGCAATATGGTGAAACCCCATTTCTACTAAAAATACAAAAAATAGCTGGGCTTGGTGGTGGGCGCCTGTAATCCCAGCTAATCAGGAGCCTGAGGCACAAGAATCGCTTGAACCTGGGAAATGGAGGTTGTAGTGAGCCAAGATCATGCCACTGCACTCCAGCCTGGGTGACAGAGTGAGACTCGGCCTCAAAAAAAAAAAAAAAAAAAAAAAAAAAAAAGATTGGTAAGCGTAAAGACAGGCAATTTGAGACAACACTTCGAGAAGATAACAGATAAAAGTATAAAGAAAGGATAATGAATGACTATAAGATTGAGAAAATAAACTCAAAAGGATATATCTAAAAGTTATTGGCCTTAAACAGGAAGTAGAGAGAGAGGGAATTATGAGTAAAACATTTATTCAAAGAGATAATAACAGAGAACTTTCCAAATCTAGAGAAATATCAATATCCAAGTAAAAGAAGGCTATTGACACCAAGCAAATTTAACCCTAATAAGGCTACCTTAAAACATTTAATACTCAAACCCCCAAAATCAAGTACAAAAAGGGTCCTAAAAGCGGCAAGAGAAAAGAAACAAATGACATGCAAAAGAGCTCCGGTATGTCTGGCAACAGAGTTCTTGGTGGAAACCTTATTGGACAGGAGAGAGTGACAAGACACATCAAAGTGCTGAAGAAAAACAAACATTTATCCTAGAATAGTATATCCAACAAAAAGGCCCTTAAAACATGGAGAAATAAAGACTTTACTAAACAAACAAACCTGAGAAGTTTCATCAACACCAGACTTGTCCTACAAGAAATGCTAAAGAGAGTTCTTCAGTCTGAAAGAAAAGAACATTAATTAGCAGTAATAAATCATCAGAAAGTATAAAACTCACTGATAGTAGTAACTTTACAAACACAGATTATAACACTGTAATGTTGGTGTGTAAACCACACATACCTTGAGTTAAAGATTAAAAGATGAAGCTAAAAAAAGTAATAACTACAACTTTTGCAAGACATAGTGTAATAAAATATAAATAGAAAGAACAAAGAGTTAAAAAGTAGGCAGATACACTTAAAGTGTAGAGTTTTTATTAGTTTTCTCTTTGTTTTTGCAATCAGTGCGAAGTTGTCTTCAGTTTAAAATAATGGGTAGTAAAACGTTATTTGCAATCCTCATTATAACTTCAAATCTAAAAAAAACCTACAACCAATCCACAAAAAATAAAAAGCAAGAAATTAAAACATAGCAACAGAGGAAATTATCTTAACAAAAAGAAAAAAAGGAAGGAAGAGAAGACCGCACAACAACCAGAAAACAAATAGCAAAATGACAAGAGTAAGTCCCTACTTACTCATATATATCCAATACTAACATTGGATTTAACATTAATATTAATATTATGATAATATCAATAACATTATTAAAATTAATATTGGTGATGAATTAAAATAATTAATATTAATAATATTAATGATACATCAAAATATTAATAATATTAATAGTGGTAATATTGTTAATAATAATATTAATACTATTAATAGTTCAATAATCATTACTACTAATACTAGTATTGTTATTATTAATATCATCACTATTAATATTAATACTATTATTAATATTAATGATATTAATACTATTATTAGTAGTAATGATATTATTAATAGTAATAATATTAATACTATTAACAATAATGTTAATATTATTATTAACAATAATAATGTTATATCCAATAATAACATTGGATGTAAATGAACTAAACTCTTGAATCAAAAGGTACAGAGTGGATAAGTGAATAACACAAAAACAAGACCCAATGATTGTTGCCTACAGTAAACACACTTCATCTATGAAGGCACACATAGGCTGAAAATAAAGGGATGAAAAAGATATTCTAAGCAAATAAGAACAAAAAAAGCAGGAGTAACTATGCTTTTATCAGAAAAGGAGATTTCAAGACAAAAGCTATAAAATGAGGCAAAGATCATTCTATACCGATAAAAAGGTCAGTTTAGCAAGAGGATATAACAATTTTAAATATACATGTACCTAACATTGGGAAACCCAGATATATAAGGCAAATATTATTAGAGCTAAGGAGAGAGATAGACCCCAACACAATAATAGCTGGAGACTACAAAATCCCACTTTCAGCATTGGAGAACTCATACAGGCAGAAAATCAATGAACATCAGATTGAATCTACACTGTAGATTAAATGGACTTAATAGATATTTACAGAACATTTCATCCAATGGCTGTAAAATACACATTTATCTACCCACCACATAGATCATGCTCAAGGATAGATCATAAATAAGTTAAAAAAGTCTTAAAAAATGAAAAAAATTGAAATCATATCAAGAATCTTCTGTGACCAAAATGGAACAAACTAGAAGTCAATAACAAGAGGAATTTTGGAAACTATACAAACACACGGACATTTAAACAGTATACTCCTGAATGACCAGAGGGACAATGAAGAAATTAAAAAGAAAATTAATAATTTTCTTTAAGTAAATAAAAATGGAAACATAATATACCAAAACCTATGGGGTAACAATAAAAGTAGTAGTTAAAGGAAAGTTAATAAGGGCCTACATCAAAAAGTAGAAAAATTTCTAACAACCTAATGATGCATCTTAAAAACTAGAAAAGCAAGAGCAAACCAAACCCCAGATTAGTAGAAGAAAAACAAAATAAACATCAGAGCAAAAATAAAATTGAAACAAGAAAGAAAAAAATCATTGAAATAAAAAGTTTATTTTTTTGAAACACAAACAAAATTGACAAACCTTTAGCTAGACTAAGAAAAAAAAGAAGATGCAAATAAATAAAATCAGTAGTGAAAAAGGAGACATTAAAGCTGATACCGCAGATATCCTAGAGATTATTAGAAATCACTATAACAACTTCTGCCAAGAAATTAGAAAACCTAGAAGAAATAGATAAATTACTAGACACATATAACCTACCAAGATTAAACAATGAAGAAATGCAAAACCTGAAGCGACTGATAACAAGTGAAGAGATAGAAGGCATAATAAGATGTCTCCCAGCAAAGAAAAGAACTCAAGGACATCACTACTGAATTTTACCAAACATTTAAGGAAAAACTAATATCAGTCCTACACAAACTATTCTGAAAAATAGATGAGGAGGCAATACTTCCAACCTCATTCTATGAGGCCAATATTTCTCTGATACCAAAACCAGACAAAGACACATTTAAAATGAAAACTAGAAGCCAATATTAATGATAAACATTGATGCAAAAATTCTCAAAGAAATACTAGCAAATCAAAATCACCGACACATTAAAAAGATCATTTATCATGACCAACTGAAATTTATCCCAAGGATGCAACAATGGTTCAACATATGCAAATCAATAATTCTGATACATTATATTAACAGAATGAAGGACAAAATTATACGATCATTTCAATTTATCTTGAAAATTATTTGATGAAATTCAACATCCATTTATAATCTTTAAATACTCTCAAAAAACAGGGTATAGAAGGAACATACCTCAACACAATAAGAGCCACATACAATGGACCCTCAGTATCATATAAAACAGAGAAAAGTCAAAAGCCTTTCCTGTAAGATCTGGAACAATAGAAGGATGCCCACTTTCACCGCTGTTATTTAGCATTTTACTGGCTGTCTAGCTAGGGTGATCAAACAAGAGGAAGAAATAAAGGACATCCAAATTGGAAAGGAGGAAGTCAAATTATCCTTCTTTGAAGATGATATGATCTTATACATGGAAAAGCCTAAAGATTCCATCAAAAAGCTATTAGAACTCATGTACAAATTCAGTAGAGTTTCAAGCTACAAATTCAACATAGAAAAATCACTGAACAATCTGAAATAGCATGATGGCAGTGAACAATCTGAAATAGATATCAAGAGAGTAACCCCTTTTACAACAGCTACAAATAAAATAAAATACCTTGAAATTAAATTAACCAATGAACTAAAAGATCTTTACAATAAAAACTATAAAATATTGATATAAGAAATTAAAAAGGACACAAGCAAATGCAAAGTTAGCCCATGTTCATGGATTGGAAGAATCAATATGTTTAAAATGTTTATACTATCCAAATGAATGTATAGATTCAATGCCATTCCTATCAAAATACCAACGATATTTTTTAGAGTAACAGAAGAAATAATCCTTAAATTTATATGGAACTGCAAAAATATCCAGAATAACCAAAGTCATCCTAAGCAAAAAGAACCATACTAGGGGAATCACATTACCTGACTTCAAATTATACTATGGAGCAATAATAACCAAAATAGCATGGTACTGCCATAAAAACAGACACACAGAGCAATGAAACAAAATAGAGAACCTGGAAATAAATGTATACATCTACAGTGAACTCATTTTTGACAAAGGTGCCAAGAATATACATTCAGTCTTTTCAATAAATGGTGCTGGATATCCATATGCTGAAGAATGAAACTAGATCCCTATCTTTGCAATATACAAATATCAAATCCAAATTGATTAAATACTTAAGTCTAAGACTTCAGACTATACAACTTCTAAAAATAAACATTGGGTAATCTCTCCAGGACATTGGTCTGGGCAAAGGTTTCTTGAGTAATACCCCACAAACACAGGCAACCAAAGCAAAAATGGACAAATGAAATCTCATGAAGTTAATAAGCTTCTTCACAAGAAAGAGAACGATCAATAAAGTGAGGAAACAACCCACAGAATGGGAGAAAATATTTATAAATTATCCATATGATAAAGGACTAATAACCAGAATAAAAAAGGGGCTCAGACAACTGAATAGGGAAAAAAAAATCTAGTGATTCTACTAGAAAGTAGAATTAACCTGAACATGGTTAGAACATGCTCCTGTTTGCCTTTTTTATGTCTTCTTTTCAGAAATGCCTATTCAGATCTTTTGTCTACTTTCTGATAGGATCATTAAATTGTTTTTTTCCTATCAAGTTATCTAAGCTCCTTATTTATTCTGCTTATTAATCCCTTATCAGATGGATAATTTACAAATATTTTCTACCATTCTGTAGGTTGTCTCCTCACTTTACTGATGGTTCTCTTTCTTGTGAAGAAGTATTTTAACTCCATCAAGAAGTGGGCAAATGATATGAGCAGACACTTCTCAAAAGAAGACATTTATGTGGCCAAGAAACATGAAAAAAGCTCCTCATGACTGGTCATTAGAGAAATGCAAATCAAAACCACAATGAGATATCATCTCATGCCAGTTAGAATGGCAAACATTAAAAAGTCAGGAAACAAAAGATGCTGGAGAGAATGTGGAGAAATAGGAACGCTTTTACACTGCTGATGGGAGTGTAAATTAGTTCAACCATTGTGGAAGACAGTGTGGTGATTCCTCAAAGATCTGAACCAGAAATACCATTTGACCCAGCAATCCCATTACTGGGTATATACCCAAAGGATTATGAATCATTCTACTATAAAGACACATGCACACATATGTTTATTGCAGCACTATTCACAATAGCAAAGACTTGGAACCAACTCAAATGCCCATCAATGATAGAATAGATAAAGAAAATGTGGCACCTATACACCATGGAATACTATGCAGCCATGAAAAGGGTGAGATCATGTCCTTTGCAGGGACATGGATAAAGCTGGAAACCATCGTTCTCAGCAAACTAACACAGGAGCAGAAAACCAAACACTGCATGTTCTCACTCATATGTAGGAGCTGAACAATGAGAACACATGGACCCAGGGAGGGGAACATCACACACCAGGGCCTATTGGAGGGTTGGGGGTAGGGGAGGAATAGTATTAGGATAAATACCTAATGTAGATGATGGGTTCATGGGTACAGCAAACCACCATGATACGTGTATGCCTATGTAACAAACCTGCACGTTCTGAACATGTATCTCAGAAGTTAAAATGTAATCATAACTTTAAAAAGACAAAACAGGTTTATAAAAAGGTGCTAAACATCATAGAGCATCAGATGAATCCAAATCAAAATTATAATGAGTTATCATCTCACCTAATTAAAAATGTATTTTATTTAAAAGTCAGGCTATAATGAATGTTGGCAAGGATGTGGAGATAAAGGAACTATTATACGTTGTTGGTGAAAATTCAAATTAGTATAACCACTATGGCGAACAGTGTGCAGGTTCCTTAAAAAACTAAAAATAAAACAACCAAATTATCCAGCAATCCCAATACTAGGAAAATACACAAAATAAGGGAAATTAGTATACTGAAGAGATATCTGCACTCCCATAGTTCTTGCAGCACTATTCACAATAGACAAGATTTGGAAGCAACCTAAGCGTCCATCAACAGATGAATGGATAAAAAATTGTGGTACCTATACACAATAGAGTACTATTCAGTCATGAAAAAGAATGAGATTCTTTCATCTGAAACAACATGGATGAAATTGGAGGTCATTATTTTAAGTGAAATAAGCCAGGCACAGAAAAACAAACTTCATATATTCTCATTTTGTGATGTCATTTTATAACTAAAAATTTTAAAAACTGGACTCTTGTTCAGGGAGAGTAGAAGGATGGCTAAGAGAGGCTGGGAAATGTAGTGGGGTGGGGGTCGGGAGGGTTCAGATGATTAATGGGTACAAAAATACAGTTACATAGAATAAATAAGATCCAGTATTTGATAGCACAATTGGGTGACTGCAGTCGACAATATATCACAGATTTAAACATAACTAAAAGAGAATAATTGGAATGTTTATAACAAAAATGAATGATACATGTGTTAGATGATGGATAGCCCATTTACCCTGGTGTAAGTATTACACACTGTATGTTTGTATCAAAATATCTCATATTCCATAAATATATATACTTACTATATACCCATGAAATTAAAAATTTTTAAAGTGTTTTTGCCATTTAGAACAGATATAATCAATTATTCCAAAACACCTGCTATGTACCAAGTACCATGCGATGTGATAATTGTGAAAGATTGGGGATAGAAAGTGAAGAGAGACATGAAAGCAAGAGATGTAGGTATCTCAAAAACACTGAACTGTCAGGCAAATGTAGAAGGTCTTATTTGCTCAACTACAGGTCTATGAATAAAAAATGATCCCTGAATGAGTCATAAAGTCATATCAAATCTGGTGGAAATTAGTGATTCGAGGCAACTGCCTTGGGCTAATAACTGCACCCCTTATTATCTCTTAACTCCTTTGTACTTAGTTTCATAACAGAATGAGTTTACGTACATCCCAAATAAAATTTCACTGAAATCGCCCACTCACTCGCCAAGTCTTGGTGCAAAAATTTGATATGCCAAAGAGGGGAAACAATAGAATAATCAAAATAACATGAAATTCAGCAATTATTACATAAATTAAGAAATAAATTTTATAGCTCTGCAACTGTGATCAATCACAATTTGTTTCAATAGGAAAAAAAAACCCTTTACTGAGTGATCATACATAAAACCTAAATTTTTATCAAATTGAAATCCTATTTCACACTCCTTATTCTCTGCCCCCTAACAGATGACAAGAGGGCATTCATACAATTTGCCAAGAAGGTAATAATTTCTGGAATGTCCTGGTCACCTATTTTGAGGCAATGGATATTGTTGCAATCACACTCTTTTCACTAGATTTATAAAATGCTTGACACAGAGAGAAAATTCAGAAATACACTTATGGTTAGCTAAGACTATAGATCAATGAACAGAAGTTGGAGGAAAGTTACTGGCAGTCACCAAGGACACTTACAAAGATTACTGACAGTTGCCTCAGCTTCCATATAAAGGTGAATTCTAGTAAAGTTATGAGATTTCTCCTACAACTACTTCTATGTATAGAAATCTAGAGAACAAGCTTTGTGGAGAATCTAAATTACTGAAATTATTACTGCCTTAATACCAGTGGAAGCTAAATATTGGGCTGTTCCTGATTAAATTAAAAAAAGCAATAGCCATCTTTCTTGCATTCTAAAATAAGTGGATTCTGATTTTCGTGCCTTGGCTCATTGCATTAAAATCTGTACCTTACCCTCTGTAGACTCAAATGAGATTTTAGAGTATATTTTATCTTTGAGTCATATAAAGGAAGAAAATAATTATTTTGCATTTATAAAGATAATTGATCAAATAAGTTTTGAATTCCCTTTCCATTTTGAGTCTAAAAATGATGCCTTCCCAAGTGACCAGGTAGATTTAAAGAGCCCTGGTGCACAAGGCTTACAAGTTGCCCACATAAAAATAAAAGCACAGTATTCTTGAACTATTTGAAAATAAATTGAAAACAAAATATATACATATTTATGTATACATATATACACACACCCATTTCTAATACCTCTATTTCCATTTTATATGCGTGTATTAATATGTATATTTGTATATACATTATATATGCACATATGTAATGGAAATACACATATTAGAACCAATGCTAAAGTAGAATGTTTCATTGGCTAATTCAACTTAGGGAGTTTCTTGGCAGGTTACACTGTGTGCAGTTTTCAGCCTGTCTCTAGATTCTCTGTATTCTAACTATATTCTAGCTAATATATACTACTTGATGGCAAGGGCTATTGTCAATTTGACTTTACTTTTATAATGCCAAGTGGAATCTAGTTTATACTTATTTTTTTGCAATAAATTAGTAAATCCACAAACAAAGAGAGTACTATATATGAAAATGTTCCTTCTCCCAAAAATAGCTACACCAGGAGTAGGCAAGATTTTAATGAAAAAAAAAAAAACACATAATAAATATTTTGGCTTTAGAGGGCCAGCTACTCAACTGTGTTATTGTGTGACAGTTAATACTGAGTGTCACCTTGACTGGATTGAAGGATCCAAAGTATTGTTCCTGGGTGTGTTGCCAAAGGACTCAAACTAACATTTGAGTCAGTGGACTGGGAGAGGCAGACCCACCCTACAGTAAATACACAGTAAATATTTATTTAAAAAAAAAATATATATATCCATACACATTTGATTAAAAATCAGTTGTTTGAGCAATGATGGCAATAGCTAAGAGTTAGAAACATATGTTTACAGATATGACACAGTTGATTAGCCTATAAGATCAACTCCAGCATACACTAAATAAATATTGTCAATAAACAATAGGAGGAAAGAAAATGAAAGAGTGAGAGAGGATGAATTCAGGCAGAGAATATAAGGGAAGCAAAGAAAGAGAAAAGAGTGGAAGCAGAATTAGAAGAAATATGATGGAATAGTATGTGAAATTTGTAAGATTCCAGCATAAATAGAATGATGTTTTTATAGTAATTTGGGATTTAATAAAATATTATATTCTTTATTAAGAATTGAGAAGTGCATCACTTTTGGAACAGTAAAAGACTGAGATTGGGACATCAGAGTCCCTGAGGTGAGTTTATTGGTGTGAATTATCATCTTTGGCCCATCATAACTCTGCCATATTAGAGGCAGTACTTGTACAGTAACTTCCCCCATTAGAACTCATTCTTAGCTAATTCTGCTACACTAGCCCTCTTCTGTAGACTTTAGGTCTTGGTATTTCTTCTGAGTGGCTCTTAATCTTGTCCAAGTATTGCTGTCAGCTCTGTTATCTTGTTTAGCTGTTATTTAGGCTGGGTGTGCACACATTTCTTTTTGAACCGTAGATTAATTAGGTTTGGCAAGCCTCCTCTACCTCGTGGGAGTATGACTTAAGTGACAGTGTGTGCTCTTAGTTTTCTAGTTGGAAAAACATCTGTAGAAGGTGTATTATTTCACTAATATGTACAACATTTGGAGTTTTGTCCCAGTGGCTAACTAGATCCTCCTGTGGTTCTGGGCTGCCTCAAGGTAGTTGGGTCTTAGATCAGTGTCCATATTTCAGAACAATTCTTCTACATTCCAACTCATTGTACATGTTTTGAGCATAACATTTTATATTAAAAGTGGTAGACTATTTGAAGGATATATTTTTGAAGAGCATCTTATAGAATTGTCTCCATGATAATGTTTCAGGTATATTTGGCTTTGGTGGATCCTAGTAATCCAGGATTCAGATAGGAATGAACAATTTTCAGCTCCCGAAGTGTGCAATAGTAACAACTTCTAGAAATACTTTTCTTTTTGCCAAAGGTCTTATTGCACTGAAAACTGTGCAGAAATTAAGGTTGTACTCTCCATCTCCATAGATTTTTAACTCATATGTGATGTCGTATCCATTGTTTCAACATCTTATTTTTAATCAAAACTTCGAAATTATCTGAACTAAATTTTGCCACAGAGATCCCAGCCTCGTATGGTCCACGCTGATTTATCCTGATGACTGTTGTAGTGGAACAACTGTTCAGACTTGGAGGTCGAGCAAGACCTGTAATACATCTTTGTCATTTGTCATTCCATCATTTGCTACTAAAAAGTAATCCAAACCTGATAATTATATTAATCTTTTAATGCACTAAATTACAATAACACATGCTAATGTTGCCATTTTCATTTTCTTAAATTTGCTACTTCTATATTCCATTTATAATTCCTTGCTTTAGAGTCAATGGTCTGGGTTATTATCATGTCTTAGATAATTTGGCTCTGACATTCTCAATTTAGCTTTTATATTTCAATTTATCATTACAGCTCAATGTAGGTTGATGTTCTTTCAGGTGATCTCCTGATCATTTTTTAATTCTTTTGCCTTTCCTTAGAACTTCTAGGACCAATCTAAGGGATGGTACCTGCATTGACATCTAATCTCAGGAACTTCAGTTTTGTATTATGCCTTTGAGGTTTGCTCTTCAATTTGTTTTTCATGTCCCCTTTGGTCTTGATCCTCATGATAACCAGTAAAGGTCCAAATCACTGTACAAAGCATATCAATGAAAACTATTGAAAAATAATCCTAAGAGGACTTTCTACACATTTCAGGTTCTATATTGATACTAGGGCAAGATCCACCCAAGACAAGGGAGTTTTCTAGGATGCCAATGTTGTACCCTGTGTCTAGAATTTAGAACAATGTTTCATTTATGAGGTAAAAATGGAATAAAATGGCATAGAATGGGGAAGTGGACTGGTCATAGTGAAGCGAAATAGTAAGGCAATTTGTCCTTAGGTTGGCAGGAAAATATGATATGTGTGAAAACCTACACGTGTTTGTGGCATATCAGATTATTAGACAGAATGTCAAACAGCACATATAGTATTGAGTTCTAAGTCTTGTGGGTGTCAATAAATCTATGATATACTTTTTGCTTTTAAACAGACTAGCTCAGGATATTGGATTACTGGTGAATTATAATAGTTCTGCAGGTTGGGTAATTCAATAAACAGCATCAAATAACTGAGGGGAAAAAAATCATTAAGTAGAATGTAGTAGAGGATTCAGTTTTCCTTTTTTTCCCCCGGGATTTTCTCATTAATTTTAGTGGCAAGGATGTTTACAAGCACTATAGTGCAAAATAGTCAGTGGATAACAGTTATTCTTCCTGTCTGAGAAATGATATCTCAAAAGAGGTGTAATTGACGTTGGTACTGAAAGTTTAGTAGGGGTGGCATGCAGCATTCAGAAACGTTAGGGGCATCAAATAAAAAAGTATAGCATGGTAAACTTCTAAACTTCCTACATACGATATTCCAATACTAGAAATATGTTATTCTTTCCAAAATATTTGTTTCTCTTTAGTCAAATTTATGCATCCTAAATTTTTCTTCTCAAGACATAGCTTAATCCTCCCTTCCTAACAATGTTGCTAGATCTCCACATTACTTTGAAGAGTGTGCTCAATTTTGCACTATTTTGTTTTTCATGGAATCTTTCACAATTATTCTAGAACGACCTTATATTCATAATTTTACAAGCTTTAACAGCTAACTCTTTTGTATTGATCAATACTGACTTTATTTCCCATATTAGTTATCTCATATTTAGATTTGAAATACTCCTACTTGCTTTAATTTTCCTTTACTTTTCCTTTCTCTATTATCCCATGGTGCCTATTAGGCAAATATAAACACTAAAGGTTTAATTCAGTTACAATTGTCATCAAAACATTATTACGTTAAATTTTATATTTAAAAAGATTGTATAATTTTGATATTTTAATACTCTAAAATGAAAAAATGAGGTACGTAAATAAATATTGAAAGCATCATTTGTGTTGACCATTTCTGTCTTAATTTTCTGTTTTAATCACCAATGCAGTATCAGTAGAAATTTTAAAAATATATGTTTTTTACCATATTCTTTTTTAAAGATGAGTGACCTAAAAAAACATAATTTACTATTGTAAGGTGGGAGGTAGAACCCTAAAATAGGCCTTCTGATTTGCCTCAATTTATCAAAAGAACACATTAAAGTTTATAAGATACCCTAGATTAAAATCCACATATAGGTAGATTTCTAAAGAGCATCATCCCATTTTTAATGGTCTGGTTCTTAGTAGAATGAATAATAACGTGACCTGAAGGTGAAAGAGTTGAGAAGTCACTTGCTGAACTAGGTTTTCTAAATTTCGACATTTTTTGCAGTTCCTTTGAAACTGATGTAGCAAGAGATCGATTTGGTGATATTCAACTTTTTTTTTTTTAATTCTTTCCCTCAGAATGGCTGACAGTGAGAACCAGAAGAAGTCACATCTGAACCACTGCAATCAAAAATGTTCAGAAGCCTGGCTACATCTGTCTCCACTTTCTAAAACTGAAGTAAATTTCATAAAAAGTTCAGAATTTCAAATGATCAGTAATATTTACTATATACCTACTATGTTTCCATTTTCATAGTTTACATTGTGAAGGACAGAATGTTTCAAAAGGCATAGATGATATATACTCTGCAACATATTTGACTTTTTAAGGCTGGGTATATATTGAAAGAAAAGAAATAAAATTGTTGCATAAAGTGAGATTAAAGGCTCTTCTTTTTCACTTCTTCAATCCATGCCTTATGTCACATAGCTTTGCAAAGCTCTCATTTTGTCTCCGGTCTTGGTTGCATGATTGGTTTTGGCTACTGAAATTCTAGAAGGTATGCTACAAGCAGAGGCTTAATAAAATGTTTGCATATTTCTGTTTGTGCTAGTTTCTCTGCCACCACCATGAGAAGGACGTACACCACCTAGACTGTTAAAAGCAAGATGCACACACAGCAGTCATATTTTACTCATGTGAGGCTGGTGCCCTATTAGACTAACCAATAGCTAATTGAACTACAGATGTGTGAACAAATCCAGTTAATTCGAGCAGACATAGATATCCAACTATCTTAGATTTATTGATGCTACTGAGGTTAACTTTTTTATAGAAAACATTACTATTACATCATTGTAAAAGTAATTGTACATTATACATTGTATAGTACACATGGTACTGAATTATGGTCTAAGTTTTGCAGAAGAGTATAAAGTGTAGATTTGTATGAGAACTGAAGAAAATACATATCATGATTCAGCACTTAAGAATTTTTCGAGTTTTCTACCACTATTTTGCCCCTCAAAAATTCCAACAGAACATCTTTAATACAAATAGTATGAACTCTAATCAAAGAGTTAGATAGTTAAAGCAATCATAAATGGCCATGATTGTGTAAAATACACATTTATACAAATACACACACAACATGTATACATGTGCATAGCCAGACACGTCACCAAATTTTCAGTTAAAAAAGAATTCCCTCTATTTTCAGACATAATATCAGAAATCTTTATTATATAAAATCTTTGCAGTTGCCTGTATCATTTTCCTATTTCTGAAGAGTCTTTGGGGTGAGAAAATAGAGATAAGGAACTAAAATTTGCCCTGAACTAGTCCATTTAGCCACTTGCTTCTCTGATGCCTAAGAATCTGGTTTTAGTAACCCTCTTCATTGGCCACGGTCTTCTATTGTTTCTCTTTCTTCATGTTCAGGGGAAATGTGTGTGTGTCTGTGTGTGTGTGTGTGTGTGTGTGTCTTCTTTTGATTCTTCTTCATCTAACAGAAACTCTCTCTAAGAATAACGTACCTGAATCCTCACCTATTGTGATAAACATATATGTTCCTAAGTATGGCTACTGTACTTTTTATTTTTTTAATTTTTTTAGTCAGAGTGTGCTCTTGTTGCCCAGACTGGAGTGCAATGGCACAATCTCGGCTCAATGCACCTATGCCTCCCAGGTTCAAGCGATTCTCCTGCCTCAGCCTCCCGAGTAGCTGGGATTACAGGTGCCTGCCACCACCCCCGGCTAATTTTTTGTGTTTTTAGTCAAGACGGGGTTTCATCATGCTGGCCAGGCTGGTCAGAAAGTCCTGACCTCCGGTAATCCACCCACCTTGGCCTCCCAAAGTGCTTGGATTAGAGGCACGAGCCACCGGGCCCAGCCAAGCTATTGTTACAATTTTACATAAAACAATGTAGCCTTCTCTTTGTTTTCCCTTTCTGTCCCAGCAAGCTATTGTTACATTTTTATATAAAACAATGTAGCCTTCTCTTTGCTTTCCCTTTTTGTTTTTACTTTTTCCTCCATCGGGTAGGATTGATTTGGTGAAGTGATTCCATTCATCTATGCTGGTCCATCAAAAGTTTTCTAGAAAATCAACAATAACAACAAAAATCTCGCTCTTACTTCTACCTGAAAGGACAAGTAAGGGTTTATGAAACGGCTTATCTAAAAAAACTAAGAAGTGCTCCAGTAACATGCCTAGTTTAGGTTTATTACAAAGTTTTATTAAAAATCCTTAAGAGTCGCACAAGTATATTAAAAAATATATATATGTCTGAAGAGAATGGCATTCGTCCACTAATGGTTGCTCCCAAGGAGAGAGCATTTCTTCACAGCCTCTGCTAGTCATGGGTGAACTCTGCTGTTAATGGTCTGTGAATAGCATCATGGATACTCTCCTGGGGACAGGCCTAGTTGCTAATAATTTCTACCATGCAAATATGCTCATTGACCTACAATGGGGATGAAAGTGCAGCCTTCTGGAGCTGTTTGCAGCAATTAAACTCAGTACCCAGGGTGGGTAATTTCCACTGTAAGAACAGCGAGTGTGGCTAATGCTGTTCTCTGCCTTTGTCTCACATCTTATAATTCTTACTGCCTTTTCCCTTAAACTCCCAGTGTCAAGTGGCTTCTTCTAGTGAGGTTTTCTAGCACAGTCAATGTGTCTATATTGTCATATATATAAAATTAGGCAGTTCAGAATATAATAAGACTAATGGCAATAGAAGGGAACTTTTCTGTACATTAATGCCTGTATTTTTGATGTAGTTTTCACTAGAACTCTGAGGGTATGTAGGTGGAAACGACAGCGTAATAGAGCTGTATACGGGATTTAAATTGGAAGAGAGCCAGGGAAGAAGTTAAAGAGGCGTTTTTCTTCCAGGCACATGCACTCACTAATATTCCTCCTTGAAGTATGTTAATACAGAATGTATTATTTATTATTAAGTATGTATCTGATTTTCAAAGTTTGATAAAGTGATAACACACTGAAAATTCCAATCCCAAATTAGAGTAGAATAAAAAATATGACCAACACCACCACAGAAATTTAAAAGTGTAAGACAAGAGGTTATCTGTTTCCTGATTCATGATTTCTTTTCAGAAATCACAAGGGTGTGGCACAAAGACCCTTTTTGTATTTATTTGTTCTAACTCTGCCTTTTAAATGCCAGAAATTGTGTTTGTGTGTGTCGCACATGTTATGCAATATGTGCCATAGTATGCAATATACGTACATGCATACACATATATATTATCAGAGCTTTTATTAATGCAGATAAACCTATATTTTTAAAATAAAAAACAAAATAAGCAAGCATTAGCTTTATTGTCTAAAAATGTCACTGTACTTGAAACCTATAAAAAATTATGTTTCATTGAATGCTTCGAAGAGAACTAGTTGCATTTTCCTTTAACTGTATTTGATATTGTTGCTTTCTGGTATTTGTAAAATGGTGTATGTCATAAAAGTACATTACATATTTGCTAAACAAGAAAGTGTTTAAGTCTATTGATTTTTGCAATTAGTAAAATTCAGACAAATCAGAAAACAAAGAAAGCCATCTATGTTCTTGAATACTTGAGTGGCCATTAAAAAAGGCCTAGATCTTGGTTAAAGTTTTAAGTTTCCCTAAGAAGAGCCAAACTGCATTTCCAGAATTGCTGTTAGGAAAAGCTGGGGTTTTTTTTTCCTAACTGACAACAAATAATATTGATGCTCATTTTTTATCAGTAAACTTTTAAGAATATATTTTGCAAAAATGCTTGAGGTCACGCTGTCTATGAATTCCCTAAAGAAACTGCCTTTTATTCTTAGTTAAGGCAAATTATCATTCTTTATATTTTTATCTATATCATGTACCAGTCTAGAATATTTCATTTATATTTATAAATATAATAATGTCTTCATGAATGTCTTCATGAGGCTTACATTTTCATTTATTGTTTTCTACTTCTGAAAATGTAAGCCTCATGAAGACAGGATTTTGTTTACTCTGTCAAATTTCATGTCCTGGAAACTCGATCAATTTCTGGCACATGTGTGGTCAATATACATTTGTAGGAATGAATGTGTCAGTGAATCTTCTTGGATTTTAATTGACTTTTTAGTTCATATTATAGACGCTATGGATCTTATGATATGACCTCTTCTTTGTATTACTACTAGAGGCTTAAGATCAAATACTTGTTCTACATTCCATAAACATAGAGCAAAAGTTAAATGTATTTTGAACATCATGATGTCATTAGTTTTCTTTATGTCTTAATTCCTGCAAATACTTAATGTGCCTTTTTTAAATTTTGAATGCTGCTTAAAACATTATTTAAAAACCAGAAAAGGAAGGAGAAAAAAAGGTTAAAAAGGAAGATAAGATACTAATATGACAAATGTGAACAAAAGAAGGTACAGATGAAGAAAAAAAAAGGAAAGAAGCAAGGAAGGAATAAAATAACAAAATATTCTGCAAAAAAAGCAAGAAAAATAGAATAGAGACAGGAAATTTAAATGGGTGAAATTTTAGAAGAGAATCAAATAAGAAATCACCTTGGTGGTGTGAAAGAAAGAACAGATTTGGGAACAATACCTTAACTGGAAAGACTGAAGCTGCAGAATAAATAACAAGTATTTCTTGCCTAAAAATACTATATAATAGATAAATACAAACTCACCATCACTCACTGTATTTTGCTTAAAATTTGGAAGACTTGTGGAGGCTTTTAGCACTGTCTCCCCTCTACCTCTGTCCCCCCCTCTCTCAATAAATGGATAAATGAGATGACATGAAATGATTTACTTTTAAGTGGTGAATCTGACATCTAATTTAGTAATTGTTTTAGTTCTGAGCAATATTAGAAATAATTTAGTTATTTTATGATAAATCTAGAGGGGTAAAATTATTGGCATAAAGCAGGTTGCTTCTGGAGTGAAGTATTGAGTGAAAAACAATATGATCTTATAGCCATGAACTATTGGGGTAATGGAAAGAGTTAAAGCTGTCTCCAGGTACAACCATCAATATCTTACAGGAACAATGATTCATAATATTTTGGAAGTCTTAAAATACAGTGAAATAGCACGATACTCCAAAGAACAGGAGTTGGTTCCCCCTCAGAAGTCAGGGAAAAGTACAATATGAGCATTTGGTGAAAGATAGTTACAGGTTAACTAGGAACACATACACTCTTCTCTAAAAAGCCTTACTTCAAAATTTTAGACCAAGTACGAGGTGTTTTTTGTCATTTGCTTCCTTATGTCAGGTCTCCTCTTTCTGAAATATACTAAAAATAAATGACTTAATGGGAACATATACTTACTGAACTCATATACTCCTGTACACAAGCATGTCAACACTACATCAACCCACTCCTTTTTCCTATTGGCCTTCTCTGGATGATTTTGCATCATAGTACATAATGGTGGTGGATGGTTAACTTTCTTGACCTTCTATTCCCTGATCTTGGATGACTGACTATTATGAACTACATCCTGCCTTCTGCCTTGCAGATGGATTTGAACAAAGAACAATAATGACAGCTGACTAGAGCACTGGAGGAAAGCAGAACAGATTATTTATTTACTCACTCATTTCTGGGTTTTATCAGTGTCCAAGATGCTCTTTGACTATGGCTCCTATTAAGTGATCTCTTTAATACACCTCCTCTCACTGGGCTCTAGTAACACCACTTCTTCCCCTTGCTCCTACCTTCAGGAGCTAATGACTTTTTACGATTGTTATTGCTTATATGCCTCAGTATCCCTTGTTGGTCAATATACCCACCCAGCCTTCAGCATTGTACTAAATATTCCCAATTAGTTTGTCTTCCCACAGTCAACTTCTGCATCCTTCCTGAATACAGTGATGCTATATGCCAAAAATTAGTTCTGATCTTATGACTTCAGTGACATATGAAGCTTACCAAACTGGATTTGGAAAGCAATGCAGGAAAACATAACTGCATTTTCAGTTTCATAGAATCATCAGGAAATGAAAGAAAAATAATACTGTAATTTTACAGTAATTTGAAAATAACTTTACACATCATAGTTTTCCATCTAAGTAAAAAGTGTAAGATTATAAATGTGATTTTCTGCCTCCCAACTGTGGTAGACAAATTTGAAGCAGTTGTATTTTAATACAACTAAACATGTACACAAGTATATGGTTTTAATAAGCAATGCTTTCTACTGAAATCCACTTTCTTCTGATTTAAAAAAAAAATTGATACCTACCATCTAATAATATGTGAACATTTTACTGATCTCTCCTTACTTCACACAACATTTCAGGGACAATTCAGTCAGAATTCTGTCTCTTTCTCTCTCCGTTAAATATTAAATTGAAACCCCTTAACAAGTACTGAGAAGAATGTTATCTAGGCTCGATCAATGATAACATCACAACAGAAATCAATGTGCCAAAACAGTGCCTAACATATTAGTCAATCTCCTGTATTTGCTTCCCTCCTGTGGTCTACAACAACATTCCCCAATTTGTCCTTGCCTATTCCTCCTGTGATTCGGAAATATAAGACCTGGGCTTGAAATTTGGTGTTAATCTTATCAGCTTTGTGATACTGAGCTATTTATTTTATGTTTCTGAGCTTTATTTTCATTAGCTAAAAGGCAATGAGAAGAATAAGGTACTATATTTATAAAAATCTAAATAAAAACACATACCATATGCACAGTGTTATATAGTGATTAGCTATCTCAATTATTTTATTTATGGAAAACAAATTATATGACATTGTGGAGAAAAAAATAAATTGTTAGAGAAAGATGTTTTCTTTTTAATGGCTACTAAGTTTTTTACAATTATTTGAAGAAATTTTAAAATTTGTACTGAAAAGTAAAATCATGCTTTGAAATATGAAGAATACAGAATCTTCTGAGTCCTCTTTTATATTTTATCTTATTTATTTTTCTTAATTTATAAAATAGTTTTTTAATTTTAGAAAGGATTCCTGCCATTATTAGAAATTATTATATCTTCCTTTTAACTCACCTTAATAAATATGGGTATCAGTATAAATACTGACTGGGAAGACATTTATTTCTCCACTAGTTTATCTTTTTTTTTTTCTTGAAATCAATTTCTGTCTCCAATAAATATCAAAGTAAATAGAAATTTAAACCCATCCTCAAGTGAAAGGACTCAACAGAGGGTCAAAGAAAAAATCATGAGCAGTCTGGTTGTTTGTATTTTATACAATCATTAAAGATTTATTAAATCTCTTAATTTTATTTTGAGAGGTAGCAGCAATTATGGGTAATGAAACCAATGGCATGTCATTTGAAGGTGAGGTTTTGTGTGGAATAAAAGCTCTACTGGGTATTGAAAGATAACCTGACCTAGTAATGATGAAAAACTTTCAAACAAAGGAGAGGCAAAGTGCAAAAGAGAAGCCTGAGGATTTAAAGATGCTTTTGAATTTTTTCAGAAGAAGAACGAAAACTTTGTTGTGTTATATGTTTATTTTTTTAATGTTACCAGGTAGGAACAAAAAATAACAGAGCCTTCATTATTTATAAGAAATGAACAAGTAATGAATGCTTTAGAAAATAAAAATCTCACTTAATACATGAGACATATTTTTGGTTTAGGATTCAAACCAGTATAATTTAAAAACAATCGGTGAAAGGTGATTTTAAAATGGTGCAAAAGAGTAATTTCCATTGAAGCAGTAGACTATATTTAAATCCAGAAAAGACTTTTTTTTTCCACATATGCCAGTTTTAGGATGAATTAGATTTAGTCTGGTACTTTTTATTCTCAAAGATTTCTTTGCTCTTTTATAATAACCCTGCCTCCCATCCTGCCCTGTCTCCCTCCTCCAAGTACAGACAATACTAACATGTTTTCTGTCACTGCAGATTAACTTCAATCTTCTACAATTTTATATAAATGGAATTACAAACTGTTGTAAAAGTTAAATCAAACTTGAGGTGTCAGTGGCAAATAGGGATGCTGTTTGGAGCCTTTGGCAGCCCCCTAGAGGGAGTCACAGCACAGGCCCTTAGGATTTTGGTGCAAAGCCCTGACATATTCACAGATAACGGCTCTCCTGTTGAGAAATAGTTTAGGCCTGCTACTAGGCTATTCGTAAATACCAAATGCTTAGTTATATGCCACCAAGTTACCATACAATCTGAGCTTCCCATGTTGAACTGTTTGTTATCTGACTCATCAAGCCATAAAGTTGGGTACACACAGCAACACTGCATCACCAAATGGAAGTGGTGTATTTATGTGATCAGCCCACAGCAGGCACTAAGAACACAAGTAAGATACATTAAAAAGTGGTCCAAGTGCCCATGGTTTCCACTCTTACTACATTGCCTTTATGACAGGGAAAGAAGACTCCAGCTGGGTTTGCAGTTGGTTCTATACAATATGGAGCACCATCAGAAAGTGGATGGCTGCAGCATTACAGCCCTTTTCTGGGACATCCCTGAAGAACAGTATAGAAAACAAAACTCTCTAGTGGGTAGAATATTAAGCAGTGCACCTCATTGTTTTGAAAGAAAAATGGCCAGGCATGAGATGATATACTGACTCATGAACTGTGGACAATGGTTTGGCTGCATGTTAAGAGACTTGGAAGGAATATGATTGGAAAATTGGTGGCGAGAGAATGTTGGGAAGAGGTATGTGAATAGCCCTCTTTAAGTAGGCAAAAACTATGAAGATATTTGATTCCCATGCAAGTGCTTCCTAAAGGGTCGCCTCTACAGAGGTGGATTTTAACAACCAAGAGGATAGAATTACCTGTTCCTTTGATACCAGCAGCCTCTTTCTCTAGCCATCCCTCTCGTCACCCAATGGACTCATGAACAAAGTCCTAGCAGTGGTGGCAAGGATGAAGGTTAGGCTTGGGCTCAGCAACACGGGCTTCCCCTCACCAAGGCCCACCTGGCTATCAGCACTGCTGGTTGCTTAATCTGCCAGCAGCAGATACCAACAGTGAGTCCAGATATGTCATCTTTCCACAGCATAATCAACCAGCTACCTGGTGGCAGGTTGATTACATTAAACAGCTGAAATCATGGAAAAGACAACGTTTTTTCTTCACTGGAATAGACACTGTAGATAGGGATTTGCCCTCTCTGCACACAATGCTAATATCAAAACTACCATCTGTGAACTTACATAATGACTTACGTGCCATTATACTATTCCAAACAGCATTGCTGCTGATCAAGAAGCTCATTTCACAGCCAAGGTGTGACAATAGGCTCATGCTTATAAAATCCACTGATCTTAAAATGCTCTCCATCATCCTGAAGCAGCTGTCTTGATAGAATAATAAAATGGCCTTTGAACACTCATTCACAGCACCAGTTAGGCGGCAATATCATGCAAGGCTGGAGCAAGGTTTTCCAAGAAGCTGTGTATGCTCTGAATCAGCATTCAGTGTATTTTACTGTTCCTCTGATAGCCGAAATTCATGAGTTCAGGAATCAGGTGGCAGAAAGGAGAGTGGAAGCAGCTACTATTACCCTTAGTGACCCATGATTACAATGTGTGCCTACTGTCTCCAAGACCTTACACTCTACTGGTCTAGAGATTTTATTTCCAAAGGGAGGGATACTTCCAGTATGAGACTCAACAGTGATTTCAAATAACTGGAAGTTAAGACTGCCACCTGGCCACTTTGGATTCCTTCAGAAATGAAGGCGTGGGTCATCCTCCACGTAAAGAAGCACAACCAGCTGAGGGGTTTGCTGAAATCCAAAGAGCTACAGAACAGGTAGTGGAAGAGGGTGTTGCAAATACTAGCTACAACCATGTGATCAGTTACTGGAATGAGGACTAATTTTCACGAGTATTCCTTCTTATTTTGTTATGAACATGTTTGTGCACGTATATATATATGTATCTGTGTGTTTATATATACACACATATATACATACACATATAAAGAGATATGTATATCTCTCAAATAGGTTTGTTTTCTTTTTTATTCACTTGTCATATATCATAATTTTTAAGTTTCAATAATTTTACATCATAGTACTTAAGTTATGTGGTATCAAGAAGAGTAAACATCACTCAAGGAGTTTACCTATTCTTTGGGGAAAGGGGTCAGTGTGTTTTTATTTGTGCACAGGATATTTGTATCATGTTAGGCAGAATTATGACCTTGTTAGTATCTTTATTGGGAGATCAAGTATGGTTTAAGATGCATATTAGTGCCAAGTTGATAAGGGGTGAACTTGTTATAGTTATTTTTGTGTAACAACTGGATTACATGATACTAGACATCTGGGTAAATATTTTTTCTGGGTGTGTTGTTGAATGTTTCCAGAAGTGATTAGCATTGGAACGGGTAGACTCAGTAAAATAAATTGCCTTCCAATTTGTGTGCGCACCAACCAATCCATAGAACAAAAAGTTGGAGGAAGAGAACATTCACTCTTTTTCTCTGACTGACTGCTTGACCTGAAACATAAATCTTCTGCCCTCAGGGCTCCTGATTCTCAGGACCTCCAACTTGGACTGGTGTCTATAGCCTAGGCTCTCCAGCTCTCAGGATTTTGAACCATATCAGCAGTTTTTCCAGGTTCAGCTTGCAAAGGAAAGATGATGGAACTTCTCAGCCTCTAGAATCATGAAAGCAATCAATACTTTATAATTGACCTATCTTTCTTTTCTTATTATACTTTAAGTTTTAGGGTACCTGTGCACAACGTGCAGGTTAGTTACATATGTATACATGTGCCATGTTCGTGTGCTGCACCCATTAACTTGTCATTTAACATTAGGTGTATCTCCTAATGCTATCCCTCCCCGCTCCTCCCACCCCACAACAGGCCCCAGTGTGTGATGTTCCCCTTCCTGTGTCCATGTGTTCTCATTGTTCAGTTCCCACCTATGAGTGAGAACATGCTGTGTTTGGTTTTTTGTCCTTGAGATAGTTTGCTGAGAATGATGGTTATCTAAACTATTTATCTATCATCTATCTATACCTCTAAACACACACCACACACACACACACACACCACATACACCACACACACACACCACACACACACAGCACACACAACACACACACGCACCACACACAGACACAGACACACATCTTCTATAGGTTCTGTTTCTCTGGAAAATCTTGACAAATACAACTATATAATCATTTCTCTCTTGTTTCATTCACATAGCGTAATTAGTTTAAGATTCATGTTGCTTCATGGATAAATAATTTATTACCTTTTATTGATGAGTAGTGTTTCACTGTAGAGTTAAGTTTTAATTTGTTTTATTCATTAACTTCTTCATAGACATTGGGGTTCTCTACAGTCTTTAGCCACAGAAACAAAACTATGAACATTATTGTCCAGGACTTTTTATGGATATAAAATATAATTTCTCTTGTGTAAAGACTGAGGAGTGGAAAAGTTGCGTTGTTATTAAGAAAATGTCAAACTTTTCCTCTAAATTTGTTATACCATTTTATATTTTCATCACCAGGGCTGAAGAGTTAGATCTTAATTTTAAGTGTTGTTAGGAATGGAGAAAACATTTAGAGTTCCTTTTGCCTCACTACAGAGGTAAAATACTTCTGCGTACTCTATCTAATTCCCCATAAATTATGAGGTTTACTTTTCTGGCTGATGAGTAGAGAAACTATTTTTCTGGCTGATGAGAAGAAGAACTATTCTTGACCACATGAGACCTCCTGTAATTGTTTCTTTTTATTCTTTTTGGGTAGTTTTATTTTCTGCTGGCTTCAGATACTTTCATAATTCATGCAATAATTCACTATTCATACTTGAGGACCACTGCAGATGCCCAGAACTAACCCTCTGTGTGTTTCTTTCTTTTCCAGCACCCTCTTCTTTGACATATAACACCCTGTGACCCTTCTGCTAAATGCTCCATCTCTACAACTAGGAAAGACCTCTGCATTTGGCCTTGATTTTACCTCTATTAGCCATGGTCCCCAGACTTTCTCTCATTAAGAAGTTCTGATGATTACTAACTCACATGTGTTGTTTCCAGCAGAAAATGAAATTCCTGTTACTCCATCTTGCCTAGAAGTCTCTATATTTTTGTCTGTATTTTTGTGTTATTCTATTATTTTTTTTTTCTATTTCTTTCACCTACTATAGGTTTTGGTATGATGTGTTGATCTGAGAGTCTTGACAGTCAGAGGAACTAAAGAAGAGACCACGCTGTCTTCAAGTATTCACCTTTTAGGTAGCTCCAACACTTGCATTAATACACATATTAGTAGAGCTAATACATTGTGCAAGTCTCTATGAAAGTCTATACAAAGGATAAAAAGAGAATAGCTTTTCTTAATTATTCAAGTACTTTAATTCTCACAACAGCATATCTACTGTAGTGGATCATGCCCTGACTATACATTAGAAACACCCAGTTGACTTTTAAAACTTCTTGCATCTTGGTCCTGCCCCTGAAATTAAATAAGAATCTCTGGGATTTAGAGACAAGCATTAGTATTCCTAAAGAACTCCCAACATAATTAATTCTAATATACATGAGAACTGCTGATCTGGACTGATATATTGTGAGAGATTGTGTGTGTGTGAGCATGCATGTATTTGTTAATTCAGTCTTAAAAAAATACAGTATTAGAAATCAGGAAGATTCCAGACATCACGTAACCTTACAGAAACATGCAAAATAATAAAATCAATTCCTTATTGAATATTTGAAAATAATGTTACATGAGATGAATTTTATAAGAGCAGGTAGGATTTTCTCTGAGTCAAATAAGAAAGCATGATCAGAGAATGGCATGACCAAATACAAAAGCATCCAAATCTAGAGATTGTACTCAATATTATCTGTATCCTAGAAAAATTAGTGTGTCTGTGTATGTGTTTTGCGTTTTTATATATGTGCACAGCAGGAGTAAAGGACATAAGAAGCAATGAATGACATGGTTTATTGGTCCAAGCTGTAGAGAACGTTTTTTTTTTTTTTTTTTTTAAGTTTAGGAGTTTTACTTTATTATATAGGTAATTGGGAGTTATTTGTACACAAATTAAATTGCATAAATACAGATTAATTCTCTGAATGTTTTATATTATGAAGTATTTCAGGCATGAATGTAGTTTGGGATCTATTTCTACTATTTTATTTAGAATTCCAAGGCATTGAGGTTATCTAGGTTTCACAAGAATGTGCTCAGTTGAATAATGTATGTAGAGCAAACTACATTTTTGTCTTTTTATATCTAGTCAATCATTAAGTTTTTCAAATAGTAATTATTGAGCTATTTATAACATTTAGCTAAAAACCATAAAAAACATCAACTTTTTCTTGTTGTATAGAATAATCTAGTGAATACTTAAAAAACCAATACCACAGTGTCAAATTGCTATCATTAATATCTATTTCATCATGCAGTTGGCATTCTTCCATAAGTCCAGTAATAAAATTTAAATAATGAATAGACAGGTAGAATTCTAAAATCAGTTGAAGAACTTATTTTAGGTAAATAAATAATGTGTTACTGCAATGTGATGGGAAAATAAATAATGTGTTAGTGTAATGTGAAGAAAGAAACTTTATTTGGAACTGTGCTTTGCTGAATATGCTAGCTTTCACTTCATTAATTTGTAATCTTTGTTCAGCTGAAAAATGTGATGAAATAAACAGTGAAATTTAGTGACATATGTTTGTTACCAACATAAATTATACCTAATAGCACGCAGTGGGATTAGATATTCTCTCCAGCCAGGTTGTAGAAGAATTAGTCTAAACACCCAAAGGTAAAATCTACCCAGAAGCAAGAATTTTAAAGTGAAAGAATCACCTAATTAGGCTAATAGTGACAATTATGTGTGAGTGAGTAGGACATTTAATCTAATTTCCTGTTTAATATTGAGAGTGGTAGCAATTCTGAGTACACTATAAAACTTAGGAAGGTGAAAATGAAACATGTTCAAACTCACTGTTTGATATAACAAAATCTATAAAAGAAAACCAAGTTAGATATGCAAAATAATTTAAGATAAATGAAAATAAATGCGGCTTTGTTTTTTAAAAATTAAGATTTTTAACTATGGCTCAATAATGACCACCAAGGACACTTAAATAAAATTGCACTATTAAGCAAGAATTCTTTGGTAACAGGTTAAATCAAGAAAAATGTAAGCCAATATAGTAAGGAAGAGTCAATAAAAAGAAAGTTGCATACTTTCACTTCCAGTTTTTTTCAGATATGTAAGCACAAAATAAACCTTCAATTTACACACAGTATATTATACCTTGAATTAAATAATTCTAAATTTTTTTTAATTTTGCTTTTCTAACCTAAGTTAATGTGAGTAGGTTTAGAAATAAAATCTCAAATACTCCTTCATGGCAGAAAGGATTTGGAACGAAGGGAGAATATATAATTCATAAACGAAATTAAGAAATCCATGTCTGAAACTGTATATTTTACTCCTTTGGGCAAATTGTAGATATGCCTTGATAATGATAATAAAATTCTCTGAAGGAGCATATCTTTGAGATGATGCAAAAATATAGCTTCGAGGAATGATTACACATTACTTATGGCGGGGTAGCTATCTCAAGACTTCTTACATACGTAACATGGATAGGTGACTATGTATGTCTTACTGGTTATCTGAATTTTGGCTTATTATTTTTCTGCATGCCATAAATCTTTCTATAAGATATCAGGATATAAGGAACACATTTTTAGTTTTGTGACCCATAATCTTTGGCTGCTTCTCTAGCATATACAGTGAAAAATTATTAAGTGGTTAACTGGTTGGGAAAAATTCATATCTTTCTTTCTTGCGTGTAAGTAGCTATAAAAATAGTAAACAATGGTTTGGGCAATCTATTGCAATTTTTTCACTATAATGTGTATATCTCATAAAATATTTCAGTATAAAAATCATAGATATATTTTCTTATATGTAGAGGGCTAAATTGGTTGCTAATAAAAAGTCTGTTCGAGTTTCTTAGTTCTTCAATTTGTAATCCTAGCCTGATGTGTGATTTCAGCCCAAAAACTGAAATAAAATTTTAAAATAACAATACAAACTTATTCACACACACACACACACACACACACACACGCACACACACGTATATAAGTTTTGGTGACCTATTATGGACACAAATATATAAAAGTAAAACATTCTATACCACACTTAGTATAGGTGATCTTCCAGATAATTAGATAATTCACATGTAAATTTCAATATTCTGTTTGAATTGTTTTTACAATTTTATGTTATTTTAGCTTACTTAGGTATGAATATTCTTACAATATACTATTACTTAGTCTTAAAGTTTTCTTTTTTAGGGCCAATTTATGTTGAATTAAGCTAATATTTGAAAATAATGTCAATGTAGAAAAATACAATGGTTTTGTTATGTGTTTTCTTACTTTATTAACAAAAATATAAGCACTTAGATTGTTATCGAACCAAGATATTAAAAAATCTACTAAATGATCTCACTCATAAATGAAGACAGAAAAAAATTTATGAAATACTAATAGGAACTAACCACCACATTTCAAAATGATAAAATATTGCCAAAATATCTCAATGCAGAAATGCAAAGGTTATCGAATATTAGAAAATTAGTTACATACTAACCAATTACGTGAATATAAAGTAGTTTTCACAAAAGAAAAAAATGTACGTAATGAATTTCAGCACCCATTTGTGATCAGAAATAATGAGATAAGAATAAGAATAGATTGGCGTTTTATTACTATTAAAACAAAAGTTAGCTTTATAGTAATTGATGTAAGAAACACATTGTAGTCAGGAACAATACAATGATCCCCATTTTTACCAATGTTTTAAAATATTGTTAAAAAAAATGCTAGCCAAATCAATTATGTACAAGAAAATAGTAAGTAGTATATAAGTGGGATGGGTAGAAAACATAATTGTTTAGAAATTGTATAATTGTATCGCTGAAAATGTTTGAAGATAGTAACAGAATTTAGGAATATAGGTCAAGTTCAAAAGTAATGAAATCACTATGTATGATCAGTGTCTAAAATGAAAATAAAAAGGAGTGGTTAAACTTCTAGTAATAATGGACAAGGTTAAGACAGACTAATCCTGAGAACAACTATTAAAGCTTGAAAAAAATAGGACATATATGATGGAAGACAGCACAGAACTAGCAAGATAATGAGGAATAATGGACTTATGTTCAGGGAAAGGAAACCCAGCAAGATAATCTGAGCATTTGAAACCACCATGAGGACTTTTTGTTTTTGGGGAGGGAGAGGGGTGAACAGGGAGCAGTTGGTGAAGTGTTGACCCTCTTCTGATAACAATGCCTGTGAAAGCATAGAATAAAACAAAAGGAAACACATCACCTTACAATACAGTCCTAACATTATTTTTTAAATTATAATCAATGATATATGTGAGGTTTTTTTTAAAAAAAAACACATTCTGTAAAAATAAAACTTCAAAATAAAAGCTAGCTTAATTTCAAAGTAGTGATGAATTACAACTAACTCAAGGACTAGCCGACTTTATAAAAACAAAACAAAACAAAACAACCACCACCAACAAAAAAATAAGTGAACTGATGGAAAAACTTACACTACAAAACATTAATCAACTGAGAGATAATGCAATATATTAATAACAGATGAAGTAGATTTCAAGAGTATAACTGATTTTCTATAGAAAAGAGGGACATTTCCTGATGATAAAATAGTGGCTCTACCAGAGAAATATAGCAATCCTAAACTGCCAAGCTACTAATAACACCAAAATATATAAATAACAAAATGACAGAATTAAAAGGAAAATGAAACAAATCCACCATGGCAATGGAACATTTCTCTGCACCACTTTAAGTGATTTATATAAGCAGCAGCAAGGAAAAGACACAACACTCATTTTTTAAAATGAGTAGAATACTTGAGCAGGAACTATAAAACTGAGGGCATTAAATGACCAATAAGCACATGAAAGGTTCTTAGCCTCATTGGTATATGATAAATGCAAATTAATAGCCTATGTATTAATACTACTACTTCTTACCCATCTAAAAGGGAAAAAAATGCTAAAGACTTAACCATCCCAAGTGTTACGGAGGACATAAAACACTCAAATTTTCTTAACTGCCTGAGAAGTATAAACAGCTGCAACTACATCAGGAAATTATTTAAGAGTATTTACTAAATGTTAAAGTACACATGCCCCATAAGCCAGTATTTCACTTGTAGGAAGGCTTAAACAGATATATGTATATAAGTGCACAAAAAGACATGTACACAACATTTCAAAGTGATGTTATTTGTTATAGTTTCAAGCTGCAAACGGTTTAAATGTACATCAACAGAACGATAAAGTAATAAATGAGCCACTGCTTCAATAATAAAGGTGAATCTTACATATGAACTATTGCACAAAAGAAAAACACAAAAAGTAAAATATGAATGTTTATATTTATATAAAATTCAAAAACAGGACAAGGGAATGTATGGCATTACAAGTCAGAATAATGTTTCTTTTGAGAAAAGAGGATTCAAGAGCTGAACATTTTTGACATGTTTATCTATTCATCTATGTTTAATTGTGAACTGCTTTATAATTATATAAACTTTCTTTAGCCACAGAACTCGTATAGATTTACAAATTTAATTATTGTTTTAGTGTTTAGTTCAACTTACAAAAAGCATTTCATTTATCGGGACATTTCACATTGACTTTCCATCTTTACTATATACACACAATTATCAAGTACCTACTGTGTATAAAGCCCAGTTCTAGCACTGACGATGGTTATTTTTCCAATGAACAATTTCAGAGGGGTGATTTAAAAACGTCGATTTATGCCTGTGGTCTGTGATACAGTATTTTTTCTTGACTAACTATGAGCTCCTGGCTCTTCTGCTTTCATTGATTATCTAGCATCCTTGAACGAAGACTAATGATCAAATAAGAAAGGCAAAATGGACAAACAGGGAGAAAACTAGTTAAAGGAAAAGCCTACATGTCTTATGTCAGAATTACTCTCCCAATCTAGTTCTAGATGGTGTCTATGAAGCACGTGAAAGCACGATTGTCAGCATGTGCTGATTCAGTTGTATCCCTGATTACAAGAATAAAAGCATGCAGTTAAGAAAGGTTGTGCCCTGGAGATTCTGTTTAAAGACTGGCTATTCCTTGCCCTAGATTTCAAGACTTAAAACTGAACTTGAAAATTAAGTAATGGCAAATGTACAAAAATTAAATTTTGGAACAGGCAAAATACACTATATATGTATTTGCTTTATCAGTAGTGGTAGTCAATAAAATATCATCTGAATAGGATCTATGTGGAAATAGCCACTAAACAATAAAAGCACCATGTAAGACACTATTTTGTCTAAAATGTTATTTCAGTATAAAAGTTTCCTAGGACCAAATGCCTAGTATGCTTTTGAGTGAAATGTTATGCTTCACATTCTTGTTTTTCTATTTTAATGAATAGTTATCCCACATAAGATCCTAAAACTGGCATCTGTAAAGATTTTACAATTGATACTGGAAGTAATGAAACACTGTTTTCTTTTTAAAGAATGTAAATGTAAAAATCACATTCTCTGGTATTGTAATTTCTTTATTCAACAAATATGTAATCGAATCTTGCCATGAGCTAGAGAAAGCTTAAATTTCATTGTAGTGGATGTTTCTAAAATAAAGATTTAACAAATATTAACAAGAAGTATTAAACACATTACTTACATAAATTGATATAGTGTATTTTGCTATCAACTCAAGGTATTTCAGTGTTTACATGTCTAAAGATGACAAAACTAGCTAAGATAAAGCACTGTGATACTTTCTGTTATATGCATGTATTTTGTATATGTCTGTATATAAAATATATGTATACATCAGCAATTGATTTTTGAATAAGTTTTGATAGCAGCAAAATATTTTTAAGGCCACTTGAGGCAATCCAACTTTACAATACTTGAGCACAACATTGAGAAGACAATGAATTCAAATTGATTTGGTTATTTAGAAAGCCTTTAATTCCTAGAAGAGAAATCAAGAATTGATTGTAACTACCTGAAAATCACTCTCAGTTTCTAAGTTAATGAAACGATGAATCAGCAATATTTTATAGACACATGGAGATAGAGAATTATAGTGTTAATGCACAGCAGAATAGGAGAGACTCAGAATCCTTATGATACAGATTGAAATTCTGTGAGCAGTTGGAGCTCCTCAAAGAAGAATGAAATAAGGAGAAAAAGACCAAGGACTGGATCTACATGAAGACATATCTAGAGAAAAGTAAATCCTTTTGTTTGCAATTCGCATTTCTCAAGAGAGCATAATGTGTGACATCAGATAGATTTTCTTACTCTCCTGGTTAGTAAAATATGTTTCCTCCTCTGCTCCAAGGATTAAATGAAGTATGTAGTATACAGAAAAATAAAGTAGATGAGTCATTTATTCTTTAGGATCACTTTCTTAATTTGTAAAATGTAATTGATGGTTATATCAAATTGGAGCTAGTCTGTTCCCTAAAAATATATAAGCCAATAGTCAATAAAATTTATTTCACTGATTAAGAGGTTCATATAAACATTCTTCTAATTAGAAATTACTCATAAGTAAAAATGACACTTGAAGAATTCTTCATTTGTAATCTTGTTATGAACCCAAATTTACCGAGGTATATCACCTGAATAGGATCCAAATATGTTAAATCATCACTTAAAGACATTCCTGGGGCAGATGTGGCATTTGAGAAATTGCAGCATGACTTTCTTTTGGAACCTGCCACATTTGATTTTTAGTCTTCATTAACTGGTTTTTCTATGGAATTAAAGAATATGAAATATAATCTTAATTTAATGATGGTAAGATTTTTTAAAGGAAATGTTTAATAGGCACCCTACTGAATTCCTGCATTGAGAAAAGGAAGCAATGGATCACTTTTAAAAGGTTATTTAAGCTTTTAAAACACACTCTCTCAATTAAAGAACAGTCATTCACTTGAGCTTTTACTCTTTCCAGTAAGGCATATTTACATCATTTTATGGTTAAACTTAAATGTTTTAATGTGATCTTCTTTCACTTCAAAAAAAGAGTAGATGACAGAACAAAGTATATGGGGAAGATTTTTAGGGTGCTTTTCAAAAAAAATTTTTTTTCTTTTTTGAGACTGAGCCTCACTCTGTTGCCCAAGTTGGAGGGCAGTGGCACTATCTTGGCTCACTGCAACCTCCGCCTCCCCGGTTCAAGTGATTCTCATCCCTCAGCCTCCTGAGTAGCTGTGATTACAGGTGCCTGCCACCACGCCTGGCGAATTATTGTATTTTTAGTAGAGATGGGGTTTCACCATGTTGGCCAGGCTGGTCTCGAACTCCTGACCTCAAGTGATCTGCCCGCCTTGGCCTCCCAAAGTGCTAAGACTACAAGCGTGAGCCACTGCAGCCAGGCCTTTTCAAAATAATTTAATGAAATATAAAGTATTCTACCAGAAGTATTTTTAATTTCAACTCTTCATATATTATTGGAAATATATTGTTTAAAGATAACATATTTTACATTACAGTAAATTGTAATTATAATACAATATTATATATTATATGAAAGATTGTGAAAATATACAATTCTCACAGAAATTCTAATGTAAATTTAGTTATATAAGACTTGAATTTATAAATTTAACTTTACAATTGAACACATTACTACATGACTTTATAATATCTGATATTATGGTGGTAATACATTTTTCTTAATATTTTAATAAAAAATAATATCATGGCTTTCTCACTACTTTGATCTTTTTAGGAATACAACACAAATTTTACCATTTAGATAAAATAAATAACTACTATATTTTCAACATGTATATCCAGTAGTGACATATTTCAGCAATGTGGTATTGAATTAATATTTTTGCAAACATAATTTTCTGGGTTTATTTCTATAAGCTATTAATTTGTGTTGCATTCTTCTCAAAAGAAAATCCCCAGAGTCTATAATTTACTCAGATTTTTATTTCATGAATGACCACATTGTCTAAGCTATTTAAAATACAAGTAGGCCAGGCATGGTGGCTCATGCCTGTAGTCCCAGCACTTTGGGAGGCCTAGGCGGGAGGACCACCTGAGGTCAGGAGTTCGAGACCAGCCTGGCCAACCTCGTGTAACCCCATCTCTACTACAAATATAAAAATTAGTTGGGCGTAGTGGCAGGCGCCTGTAATCCCAGCTACTCCGGAGGCTGAGGCAGGAGAATCACTTGAACCCGGGAGACGGAGGTTGCAGTGAGCTGAGATTGTGCCACTGGGCCATTGATGACTGGGCAACAAGAGCAAAACTCCGTCTCAAAAAATAATAAAATAAATAAAATAAAATAAGGCAAGACGCGGTGGCTCACGCCTGTAATCCCAGCACTTTAGGAGGCTGAGGCGGGTGGATCACCTGAGGTCAGGAGTTCCAGCCCAGTCTAACCAACAAGGTGAAACACTGTCTCTACTAAAAATTAAATAAATAAATAAATAAATAAATAAATAAATAAGCCGGGAGTGGTGGCGGGCGCTTGTAGTCCCAGCTACTCCGGAGGCTGAGGCAGGAGAATGGCGTGAACCCGGGAGGCGGGGCTTGCAGTGAGGGGAGATCGCGGTACTGCACTCCAGCCTGGGGACACAGCCAGTCTCCATCTCAAAAAAATAAATACACATGTATACATATGTAACTAACCTGCACAATGTGCACATGTACCCTAAAACTTAAAGTATAATAAAAAAAAGTATAAATCATTCATTAAAAGCTAACATATTTTAAGGAAAATAAGCATATGCCTGAATAAAATGCTTGTGGAAAAATAAAAAAAAATAAAAATAAATAAATACATAAATGAAATAAAATAAAATAAAAATACAAGTAGATTTCATTCCTTACGGAGCATGTATTAGGGTTCAGTAAAGGGACAGAATTAATAAGACATATGTATATATGAAATGGAGTTTATTAAGGAGAATTGACTCACAGGATCACAAGGTGAAGTCCCACGTCTGCAAGTTGAGGGGCAATTAAGCCAGTAGTGGCTCAGTCGGAGTCTCAACCTCGAAAGTAAGGAAGCCGGCAGTACCGCCTTTATTTTGTGTCGAAGGACCGAGAGCCCCTGGCAAACCACTGGTGTAAGTCCAAGAGTCCAAAAGCCAAAGAACTTAAGAGTCTGATGTATGAGAACTGAAGCATCCAGTGAAGGAAAGATGAAGGCCAGAAGACTCAACAAGTAAGCTTCTCTCACCTCCTTCTGCCTGCTATTTCTAGCCGTGCTGGCGGCGGATTGGATAGTGCCCGCCCACACTGTGGGTAGGTCTTCCTGAGGGTGGGTCTTCCTCTCCCAGTCCACTGACTCAAATGTTAATCTCTTCTAATAACACCCAGAAACACCCAGGTACGCCCAGAAACAATACTTTGCGTCCTTCAGTCCAATCAAATTGACAATATTAACCATCGCAGAGCATTTATTCAATTTTTATTTGATTGGCAGATGCATGCAGAAGATTAAGTAAATCTGTTTTCTGTACCAGTCAGTGTTGATATACACTTCATTTTGTAAGACACACCTGCAAAAGATCACTTTAAAATCTATGTGAAAGATTTATAGGGGGGAAGAAAAAACCTCACAATGCCACTGACAAATGAAGATCAAGCAAATCAGCAAATCAATTTCCTAAAAGTGAGAAATACGTTGCTTTTTTACAAGCTTTCTCTCATGCTGCCTGCAAATAAATTAAAAGCCTTGTGATATCACCTTGACCTACAATCCAGTAGCTGTATCCACTGAACGTTCTGCATTACAATTGGTGATTTATTTTGTGTTAATTATGCCATTTCTTTTGAAACTTTATTCTAAAATCTTAATTTTTCATTCCATTTTAAAACTGCTCCCAGGTGAATCCTCAAGGATATGCACATTAGAATGCATTTGGAATTTTTGAAGGAAACAAATTACTTTTCTTCTACTGATAAGAGAGTTATTTTCTTATATAAAACAGGAAGTCCTAGTAAGAAATTGAGTTTGTATTAATAATTTGTAGTGTTTCCTTCTGGTTAAACATATCCCTTTTCCTCACTTTGGTAATGGAGACACCTTTGTAACTGCCCATATATCTCAAATTCAGACTCCTAGTCTCTCTCAACGTGCCCTTGCATTTGTGTTTGTCCTACTGACTGTGCATGTGCTGTAAATGTTGGCCTTTAGCACAAATCCATCCTCTAGTCTCCGTGGATTTCTCTGACTACTGATTCTTAGCCTCAGAAGACTCAACACTGACATCCATAAAAGTCATTCTGCCCTTCACCAGACAGCATGGCTGCTGGTGTGCCCGACATTTGCTTATTTATGAATTAAAGGCAAATCTAAATAATAGTCCCATGGTTCAAAATAATAGTCCCATGGGTTCAAAATAATTCAACCTATATAATATATATATATATAGGTTTACATATTATCTATATATAGGTCATATATAAACTATGTTATCTATACATAGGTTATCTATACATAAACCTATATATATAAGCCAATATAGCTATATCTATATGTTTTTATTTATATATAAACCTATATATATGTTTATATTCCAATTATTTTGAACCATGTGACTATTATTTATATTTTCCTTTAATTCATAAATAAGCAAATGTTAGGCACATCAGTAGACATGCTTCCTGGTCAGTATAAACCAATAAGATGAAAATGTCTTAGATACAGGTAATAAAAAAATTGATTTCTGAAATGAGTTTTTACTTAGTAAAATTTTCATTTGTTTTTATTTTTAAACTTGATTTTGCATTTTCAGAGCACTGTGATTAATATTTAAGTTCTAATATTTAGGAATCATGTCTGAGTTCAAGTTCTACATTCACTTCTTTGGATTGTGTCTCCCTTGAGAGCAAATTAAATTGTATGCGAGTTAGATATCACCTGTAAAATGGGTCCTTCATCTTTACCTTAATACATTGTATAACTTTATGCACTATAAATTATGTAGCAGATTGTTTGGCAACCAAAAATAGCCATTTATATAACGGTGATATAGTGTTAAAGACTTTATTCATAATTTAAATTATTTACATATATTAGTGTAAAACATTTTCCCTTTAGCAAGATGTAGATTGTCTACATGGAGTGTTTCTAAGACTCTATATTGTAAACTCAGACATTGGGGGAAAAAGGGTTCCCTTATGCTTTTCTTTGAGAAAAAGACAATAGTCAACTAACGAAGACTTAAGGTAAAATAATGAGGGCTTTCACAACGAAGAAATGAGAATTAGAAAATGCAATAGTAGGAACTGGATTTTTAAATGTTACTTATAATAAACAGGTTTTGTAGATTTGATTCTATTAAAAGAAGGGAATAAAGAATATAAAAACAAGTGTCTTTCAAACTGAGAAAAATAATATGAAATGAAAGCAGTAAAAATGTAGGAATTAAGCAAATTTCTATGTTTGTCTCTGATCATTATGAATGTAACTGGATAATGTGATTTATAATAAAATCTGTAAGTGATTATACTTATTATACTATATATGATTGCACATATATAGCATGGAAGCAATGAAATATTTCAAATAAATTGTTAAGAAAATAAGCAAAAATATTTCAGTATCACTATTATCAGAGTACAGTAGTAAACGTGATTAGAGGAATATGTTGAGAAGTTTAATTAGTAAAAAACTAAAATTTCTAAGAATTGACCATTTGCTTCAAGTTCATGACACTTATCATATTGTGGCCTTCAATAGGCTTCTTTTGCTGATGTCAGTATAAGAAGGTTGATGAGCTGATGAACTAGATACCCTGATTTACATTTTTATTGTTACAGCCTCTGCAGTATTGTCTAGAACATCAGGTGGTTGGGAGGTCTTTTAATATCCCCACAACCTCCTATCTCTTCCCCGTTCTACTATTTTACTATTTATTTTGGTCAATGCTTTTGTGGGATAAATTTCTTTAAAACACAATTCAACTTAATAACACAGTTCAAGCTTTTCTCCTTATTAATACTTTACCTGACTCTATTCAAGAAGCTTGGACAACATCTTCTTAGGCAGAATTCTATCACTGCATTTATAATAGTTATTTATATGCCAATATCTTCTTAAAACTGTGTGATTATTAACAATAGAGCTTAGAGAATGTTTTCATATTTGTATTTCCAGGGTCTGTCTCAATATCGAAGTCACTAAAGTATCTCAACATGTATGTGTGTGTGTGTGAATCAATAAATTAGTGGTTCAATGATAACATAAGGAAATGATCCATTCATTTATACAACAAATATTTTCATAGTCCCTATCACACTGCATTGTTCTATGTCCTGTGGATATTGTGGTGGGTAAGACTAAGAAGGTCTGGTACATAGAATTTATGGTCTAGGATTTTCTGACCCCAGTCCTCATGTATTTTTTAATATCCTAGTTCTCTTCGAGCTCACTTTCCCGTGAGTTGTCCTGGTTTAACCTTGAGAACATACAGCAACACACACATACACACATACACACATGCCAACACACAGAGTCAAAAATACAGTTACAGTACTCAGAATTGGTCAGGTTTTCATTGTTTTGAATTAATTGCTCTGATAAAATAAAATAACTGAAGAAAAAATAGACAAAAGTTTTATCTTGGCTTAAACTTTGTTTCTTAATATTTTTGAATAATTTGAAGGTAGGTAACTTTCAGTCCATTTTATTTTCCTTCTTTATCTGTTATAACATTCCTACTGTATTCTTACACTGATATTCATAAAGGATTTAGCCACTTCATTGCATAAGCACTTTGAGTTTTAAAGTACAGATAATATATATGAAGCATTTGAAAAAACTCACATTCACTTGCTTCAATTACTTTAAATGTCAAAAGCTCTATGCTTAAATGAACAATACCTGCCTCTTCAATTAGGATAGAACTTGACAGAAGTAGAATAAAAGTTTTAATGTTGATCTGCTGGCAGGAGGATGGGGTGGAACTATTAGAATGAAACTTCACTTTTAATTATTCAAGTATTAAATTTGAATTCAAGGATACACCAAAGCAAAATTATCGTTTTCAAATGAGAAATACATAGCTTAGGCATAATTTTGGGATTCTTCCATTTCTAATAATTATTGAAGCTTATAAACCAGGAGTACAAAATAGCATGGGGTCCAGACTCATTCTAATATGATAAGAAAAATAAGTAGAATAGGATAAATAAGCACTGAGGAAGATTTGAAAACAATCATACATCATATTTGTGGAACTCTAGGATCCTGAATTTGTATGACACTAGATACTTCCGTTAGGATATAAGCAACAATGTGGACGCAGCTTTAATGAAAGTTAAATTTTGCACAAATAGATTTCAAATTGAGTATAATGCTAAGTTAAATCTTAGTGGTAATAATTAGATGCTGAAAATAATTGAGAAGCATTTCATCTAAATCAGTTCTCCAGAAAATACATTGAAAATGGAAACAGGATTGAAGAATACCTCAAGCCTCCTGAATTAGATAAGGCTCTAATTGCACATAATTGTATAGTATAATCAAACTCATGGGTTTTATTTTGTTTTGTATTTTTTATACCAAGAACCAAAACACACTAAGGATCGGCTATGCTGGTTTCAGAGGTTCACATTCTTGGCGTGATGGTGTTTTCAAATACTCAAGTGTGGGACATAAACAGAATACGAAGAATGGGGGTGGGGAATGGGGGCACATTCTTATGACTTTGGGGCAAATTGTGTGCAAATATCTTTAGACATTCAGAACGAGGTCAAAAATCAGAAAACTTATTACAAGCAATCTAATATCTCTTTCATTTTGTAAGGGCTGGCAACTTAAATTGACTGGAAATATTTCTTATTCCTGTGGCAGGGGGCAGGAGCTTATACAAAAACAGAAACGCAAAAACATTTGTATATTATTTCAAAATCCTATTGCTTTACTATTTAGCTAGGTGAGTGGTTCTCAGTTTCATATAAGCTTTGCCTAGTTTAGTGCAAGCAAAGTTGGACAAAGCCTTGCTTCAAGCAGACCACTTTCTTTTTTGGGCTTCACTGATGTAATAGGAAGCCAAGGGAATCCCTTCTGCATTCAGGTGTATGTGTGCAGCCTGAGAGTCAAGATCAGTGAGGCCCTGCAGGGGTGCTAACACCCTTTATGAATAAACGTTTACGGATAAACGTTTTCCTCCTTTCTTTGGATGAGCAGCTTCATAAAACTGATCATAAGGCTCTGGCGGAATGGAAAATCATTCGCTATTAGAAATGCCAACTTAATATCATGTTTTTGTACTGACAGTCTGTCACTATTTTTGCGTACATCTCCTGCTCTATATTCCTGCTTTGTGGGATAACATTTCTAAATAAACTACTGCAGACAAGTGTTTCTCCTTAGAGCCTAATTTTAGGGAAGTCAGACTAAGAAAACAGCCTCGTTAATGGCATTTTTAGTTATGCATAAGTAAAGAGAACATTTACTGTTTGGAAAAAAGAGAGAGAGAGAGACAGAGAGAGAGACAGAGAGAGAGGGAGAGGGAATACCAAGAAGGTAAATGATGCATAAAGGTGCTTTGGGTTGTTTGGGGGAAAATTGTTAAGTATCTGACGTGGACAACGAAGGACAAATCAGGACACATAGTTACTGTCTATCTCTCCAGACGAAACTGACCTTCCCAAGATGGTCACAGGATGGCTCATAAATTGATATACTTATTTTATTTAATGATAATTTTGGTAGGACTAATGAGAGCCACCTTTTCAAGAGATAGTTTAGGACACTTGGGTAAAGATAAGGTTGCCTTGTCTTATTGCACAGGTGAGATGTTTGGCCGAAAATTGTGAAGCATTCATTTTGCCATTCTCTGCTTGGACCATAGCAAGGCTTGTGAACTACACTGTTCAGTTTGGTAGCCACTAGCCACACATGCCTGTGAGCACTTGAAACATGGTGACTTCAAATTCAAACATGCTCAGGGTATAAGACTACACATTGGAATTAGAATTAAAAATAACAAAGTATATCATTAATATTTTTCATGTTCATTACATGTTGAAATGATGACATTGGAGGACTATAATAGGTTAGATAAAATATATTATAGAAATTAATTCAGAGTTTATTTTTGCTTTTATAAATGTGGCTATTAAAATTTTTTAAGTTACTGCCTGGCTCTCGTATTGATTCTGGACAGAGATTTTTCTATGAGATGTATTTTAAAGCACTCGGGATGAAGGTCTTCACGTTTTCGATTTTCTTTCAGATATTTCAAAGGAAAAGAATGTGTATGTGTATTTAGAAAAATATAATTACAGAACAATATTGGTGAATCTTAGTTCACCAATTGGGCACATTTTCAACACTAAGTTTGGCATTCCTCAAAATAAAAATGTAGAAAACATTTTTAAATGCAAACTTTAAAAAATCAAAATAAGAAAAAGGAATATAGGAAGAAACGTAAAACCAATGACAAGCATTAGATAAGACACTGTAAAATGTTAATGTGAAACCCAATGAAAGGAACAAGGTCCTGTGGCTTGAGAGCACTGTGGTCTCCCTCCGGTGTTATCACCTAAGATTTTACCATAGAATCTCTACAGTACATTTATTAAAAGCCAAATAGAAGGAAGTTATGACATTTAAAATCCTGAATGTCATTTTTGGAAGATATTTACATGGTAACTAAAGTGTTAGTTAATTAATATCAAATTAGTTTCCACAGTTTGTATACTTGAAAGTTGTCTCTTCTAGATATATACCCACTGAAACAAAAAGGTGTTCCCTTTGTTATTAATCATTCCCTCATTTTTAACATTTATATTTCAAATATGATATTTGAGCATGTATGGCTTTAAATGTGCATGGAAAATTTTCATATATTAAGTTGTCAGAAAAAACAGTAAGATGCAAAACAAAATTATCTCAAATGTCACTAGAGAATCAGTTCTTCAAGGTTACATAGAAGATGTATAGCAATTATTTTAAAACATTTCTTTTTTCTATTAGATAAAATATAACATTTTATGTTTATTTGATAGATGTAGCAAATAGCGAATTTATTTAATTACATTCATTATCTTATTATCTTAGTTATTTCAGCCCCCTTCACTTTTCAGTTCTTTTTAAAAAATGTAGGAAAAACGTGTATTTATTTCAAAGACAATGTATAAAATATACAGTGTTGGCAATAAATAAGAAAACATTGAAAAACAAAACTAAATATGAGTTAATACTTAAGAAAATAATGTGGAAATAACTCTTTTTCATAGAAGTGTGCTGTCTAATGGACAAATATAGAAGTAATATAAGTATGAATTAGAAATCTTCAGTATGTATCTATATAAAATCTGTAATAAAATCATTTCTTTCTTTTTAGTCCCCTGTCCTCCCAGTACCAATCCAATCATCAATCTGTAAATAATTAGTCTTAACTGCTATTTTTATGTCCTCCATGAGTTTATCTATGTTTATATAAGCAAATATGAAGAAAGTATCTTCCCCTATTTTACACAAAATATAATACTCTGTGATATATTTAAGATATCTCCTTTTTAGTACACGGAAAGATTTATCTTTCTCCACGCTATTGTGTTAAATGAAAGTACTCTCCTTTTTAACTTGATCAAGTTGATTTTTTTATAATTTGTCATTACAGTTGTTTCAAATAGTAAAATTGGTACACATCATATTTCTTTCATGTTTCTATGTATCTATAAAACAAATTCCTTTATGAAATTGCAGAGTTAAAGGTATGAGTAATTTTAAATTTAATATGTATTTCTAAGTTGTCTTAATTTGGAGTATAACTATTTACATTCTGATCAGCTATAAATTGTCCATTTCCAAACACCTCATCAACTGACTGTGTTTACAAACTTGGATTTTTGCCAAACTGAAAGGTAAAAGTAGTGTCTCAATATCATTTTAATTTGTATTTCTCTTAAGAAGAATAAAGATAGGCATATTTTCATGATTTTAAGAACAAAGTGAACTTATTTGTTTGAAACATTCATTTTTGTTCTATTCATTTCTTTTATTCATATTTATCTAAATTAATAGTAGGATATGTAGTGTGGAGATTTGTCTATGTTTGTGGATGGCATTGTTAATAATTTTACCTGTTTGTCATTCACATTCTTACTTTATTCATTTTCTTATTCAGTAATTACTTTTTTTTAACTCTTATCATAGTTACAGCAGCTTTGCTTAATCTAGGTTTATAAAATATTTTCCTCCATGTTTTCTAATATTTTAATGCTAATGATTTTCATTTACGTCACTTCACTCATCCATTTGTAATTTATCCACAAATATGAGGTGAAATATATCAATTTTTATTTTGTGTTTTTGTTTGTTTTGTGGATAGCTACTCGGGATTACAAGTAGGATTCATTGAATGTTCCATCTTTTTCTCCACTGATTTCACATCCCAGTTTTATTGGTTAATTTGCATTTGGTCTATTTTGAACTTTATATTGTTTTTTAATGTATGAAGCTATTCATGAAATATTAGCATGCTGATTTAATACTTAAGTCTTGATAAAATGATTTAATATCTGGTACAAAAAATCCTCTATCATTCACTTTTTTATTCAGAGATTTTTTCCATGATTTACACTTTGTTATTTTTGTATGTAAATATTAACTTCAAATAATTCAATTCTAAAAAAATCTGTTTGTATTTTTATAGGGATATTAAATATTTAAATGAATTTACAGAGAAAATAACAGTGGATATTTTACCTTGAATTAATTAAATGGAGTTTATCTGGATTTATTTTTTTATTTGCTCAATATTTGTGTGTGTGTGTGTGTGTGTTGGAGTATTTGTTTTCTAAATGTGTCTATTAAAGTTTACTTCTACAAAAATAAGATAATATAGATCTTATATTTATAGATAATTTTATTTCTAAGTATATTATCTTTGGCTAGTGCTATAAGAGGTGCATTTTCATATGCTCTATTTTGAAACACATGTAGATTACAATTTAGGTATAAAAATTATTTTTCTTATTTAGTTTTATGGTTGTATCTCTTTTTATTTTCCAGAGATATGTCTTTTTTTTTTCCCAATGGGTCATTTATTTGCCTTTATATTTTTTCTAATTTCCTTACTTCAAAATTATTTCTCTTAATAATTTATCTGTTGATAAAAGTTGGTGAATGTTGTAAGTGTCATTTTAGTGCCTATGGAGATAATTGCAAATAGCAGGCCTACAGCCCCTCCCTCTCTACTAGGACCCCACAGAGGTATAAATTATTCCAATCAAATACCCTCACAAAGAAGCTAATGACCACTACACAGTCCTCCTGGTGAAAATGCTAATGCTATTTGCTAGCAAAAAGACTATGAAGGATATTTTTCAATCAAATGTTTTTAGTAGGACACACCACATTTTTCCAGATTATTTATAATAAATAAGTCTGGGATATATGAATTTATGGAGCCTTGTGGTTTTGAAAGTCATGTAAGCTGTTCAATTAATGGGATTATGAAAAGGAGAATTTCATAAATGAAAATGACTCCTTTGTGTGATTAATGTCTCCACATACATTACTCAATAAAATCCTGTCTGTTCAAGCTGAAACAAAAATACATGCTCCTAGAAGAAAAGGGACATTTTATGGAACCCAGTCTGATAGTCTCATATTTCTCCAAAATGTATATATTTTAGCTCCTGAGCATAGCAGTTCCCTGAATGCTTTGAAACATGAAATATTTTTGCATGATTTGTATAGTCCGTGTTCTCAATGCAACATTTTGTGTTATAACAGCATCTATGAAATGATGGCACAATTTGTCTCCATGTATCTAACGACACATTATATTAATAGATTTCCTCATATTAAACTATGCTTCTATTCCTGGAATAATTCATACTTACCTAATGCATTATTTTTAATGTGCTATTAAATTTCTATACTAAAATTTATTTAGGAATTAAAAAACCATTTATTAGTGACAGTGTGGTTTTCTATTTTGTATAATCTTTGTGAAGTATAAAATCAGTGATTTATGAAAGTTTGTTTTTATAAATCATCTAGAAATGTTTCATCTTTTTATATTCTCTTAACAGTTTATGTTGCATAAAAATTCTTTAGTTGAAAAGGATGTGTTATCCCATGGATTTGACTGGGCTAGGTGCTTTTTGAGGAGTATATGTTCTTTGGTAACAGTCTCATTCTGCAAAAAGCTAGTGTGTTTGTCTCTTATGTATCTTATATGATATATCTTGATATCTATTTACCTAGGTATTTAAGAAGTCTATTTGCATACAAAAAATTAGATTTGTGAATGTTCCTTGTGATTATTTCCTCAAAATAATTTGTGTTTTTGAGCTCACTCCATGTTTGTCTTCATTAGGGTGGCTAGTGAATTATTATATCATTTTATATATACACAAAAGTATCTCTCTCATATGTGTTTGTGTATATATGTGTGTGTGTGTATGTGTGTGTATATATATATATATATGTATATATATATTTACCTCTCTCCCAAAGATCAGTTGCTGTTTATATCTGTTATTTTAAAATTTTTCTTTAATTCATTTTATTTGCTTGCTGTTTTGCGTATTTTTTTATCTTATTGAGTTGGATAATTTTTTGTATTGTTTTTGGTCTTTATTTTTTTAATCACTTATTACTACAGTTTTCATAAATTTCCTGTACATTTTTTTTTCATTCTTGTGCACCTTCAAATTCAATCTTTATGTTAGTGATTTTCCTGTTCTTTATTGGATACTTCTAATATTTTATCTTTTTCTGTAATTATTGTCATTATTGCTCTCCTACAAATTTTATGTTTCTGAATTTTGTTTTTTCTTTATCGAGGGTGGACTTAATTATATTTTGTTTTGCTCAGTTGTCTATTTGATTGCAAATGTTTGATTACCGTCACTTGCTGCTTGGCAACAATTTCTAGTCAATGCTCTTCATTTGCTGGTAAAATTTGATGCTCATTTACATTCACACACGTTTTCTTATCACACTTTTGTTGATTATGGCCATGTTACTTTTATTTTCTTTTCCATGATTAAGCAAGAACAATTTTATGAAGTAGCAATTTTCAAGAGATTTCTCTGTATGCGTGTGCTGAGGCCACAGTGGCCTTGCTTGCTACTTCTTCACATCTGCAGGTAGATTTTCATTGTCTGTGATTTCTTTGGGAAATCCCCCAATTTTGCTTCCTGAAGTAAATCTGGTTCAAAAGTTCTTCTGCCGTCAGCCCTGACCATTCTGGTTTCTGCACCCATTATTGCAAATGACACGTGTATTTTGTACTATGGATGAGGTCCTTCCATTCAGAAAGTATTCAATTCCTGGTCCTCTGTGAGATATGATATAGCTGGACTCTGTCACTTACTTTCCTAATTCTGTATTTTACTCCTTCCTCAAGATTTGAGTCACATGTCACATTATTGGTAGTCTTTTGTTTATTGTGGAGTCTGAAGATTTTATTTGTACCCTTATTACTTTTTTAGAATTGATTTTTCAGGATTTTTTTTCCTCTTTGGTTGTTGTTTTTCTTATTCTTTATCACTTTTTTGTGTTTTCTAGGCAAATAGGAGAAAGATGCTGAAATAAGCAAACTTTTTTTTACCGGAAAGTTTCTGAAATCATTGGAACACATACAAATACTTAAAAAGTAACTACACATATAACCCTTTCCATCTGTTGTAAACATAAAGGATGGAAAGAACATTCCTCAAAGCAGGAAAAAAATGTGTTATATTAGATTGCTTAATTGTATCAGAAACTAATAATAAAATAATTTTTAAAAATAGTTGGAATTTGGTTTTAAAAATAAAAAAAATCATAAGTGAACATTTGTACTAGAGGTAACACATGCCACTCTCAGTTTCATGTACCATAACCATAAAATTCTGAAGGAAAATGTATGATTTAAAATTAAGGAATAAATTCTACTTTAGATAAGCATGGGGTGAAACTAAAGACCCATATGTTCATTTTTTAGAACTCGTGTATTATTGTTCTTCTTTCAAAGTAAAGCAAAGAAGAAAAAATACATAGTTTGTTTGCAGAATTTGTTTTTTTATATAAATTATGTTAGGTCCATTTCTACTAAGCATAAGAAACACTGACCTTTGGCAAATTCCACTCTATGTGAAATCTGTTTTTGACCTTCTGGTATTCTACTTCCTACCTCAGCTCTGTGAGCTAATGAATACTCCCTGTGTACTTCCAGCCAGATTTGGAATGGTAAGTGGAACTATTTATTCTTTATTTACTTATTTAAATCTTTTGGCATGGATGGAATATGGTCCCTGAGCCATCCTGCTTGATTTGTTTGTCTTATGGCACAGTGCATAAATCCTTGGGCAATAATGCTACAGAATAAATACTTTGGGTAATATAAAGAACAACATTTACTACAGTAAAAAAGGCTGTATACCACCACGTGTCAAACTGATTTTTTCTCTGTTTACATTTCAGCTATGCTTTTTGTTAAGTCAAACATCTTAATTTTTTTTATTTCAACAATTGCAAAATAAATGAAAGAGCTGAATACAGTATAGGAAAGCTGCTGATAATGAAATTGAGGTTGGGTTCAATTGCAAGTGTAAACCAAAAGGTTATGGAAAAAAATATATGACTTATGATCATTAAACTTGGCTTAATACATTCAACTGTGTTATAAAATATTGTGATTTTTCTGAAAGATCCATTTGCTGAGCAATGCTAAATCTTTAAATGAGAGCCAGTCTTAAGGCTAAATTACAAAGAGCTGGAATAAACAATATCTTCCTATTTTTTCACTGTCAGATACAGTGACTGACCATCAAAGGGTGATGATATTTGCTTTGTAAAAGATGATATTCCATGATGACAAATTTAAAACTAATGACTTCAGTGACAGGCAAATTGATTGATTGATTTAAAAAAAAGAAAAACCATAGTATCTTAGTAAAGCAAAAAACACAGGGTCTTGGGGAGCACAAGTAAGGTAGTTGTGTTCTCTGGTGCTGATATGTTCAGTGTGATTGCCTCATTGTGCTTTTTTTCTTGGAGTAGAAAGTTAACAGACCACATATGAAAGAGTCATTGGTAAACAAATGGAAGAGAGTGAGAGAAGGTGATTTGGTCTTTGGGTTGTTTACCTTTTAGATGCCTGGAAAATGTATGATCTACCTTACCCCAGGTGAACTTCTTGGAACAGGACACTTGGTATACTCTTCAGAGTTTAAGAGCCTGTCTGTTGGGAGAGACTTAGGGAAGAGCAGGTAAAGGAAAGCCTTTCAGTGTCTCTTCCAAGAGCAACCCTCTCTTAAAAGAAGTGTGCTGAAAGTACCCTGTACATGGAAAGTTGCAAGAAATTCAAAAGACGACCAAGCAAATAAACGAGTTTCTCCTCTTAGGCATATGCTTTTTGTGTTGGAGTGCTTGAGACAAGCCATTTTAGGGAGAAATTAAACAAGTTTTTAACATTGGAGCAAGTTGCCAAATATTACAGTACAGAAGAAGGGCACACTCAAATGTCTGAGCAATAAACATTTATCAAATATAATTTACAGTGCTAGTACTGGGACTTCAAAAATTTATAATACGCATCTGACCTTGTGCTATTTATCTAGTATGTGACACACGACTTATACACAAAAAGCCTATAAAAATCCAAAATAACCTACACCATCTGCCAAGCTGTCAGTTTCTGAAATCAAGGCATCTGAATTTTTGTTGCTATGAGGTATGTGTATTTTATTGTTCTAGACTGCTCAATAAAGGGAAATAAAAATGACTGCAGCAAAGTCAAGATATTTCTTAGCAGCAGTGGCAGTGTGTGCAAGTGTATGTGTGCGTGAGTGTGTGTGTGTGTTATACACAAAGTTTGGCTTTATTACAGCACAAATTAGTGTATTAGGGGAATTTTAAAGGATTGAGTTTGGGAAAGATTTTTTGTGGTATGCCAAGCAATATTCATTTAATACTCTAGCAACAGATGGTTAGTGAGTGAGGCCATGATACAGGAGAAGAGCACCAATATTAGCAAGCACCACTATTATAGAAGAGGATCCTGTCAAAACTTATCCATCATTCTTCTCTGGAGAGAGACATTATTAGCCTAGAATATAAGAAAATCAGCTCTAGGGAGGGAAGCATCTCTATCTTTCAAGGATATTTGTTTATATGAAAATCTTTGAAAAAAAAACAGTCTGGAGCAAACTAAGTATTTATCCTTAGATGTACAGAAATATGAAAGACCTATGCAGAAAAGTCATTCAAAACAAGGTTCTTCTCTAATCTCTCCTATTCCCACTAATGCAGTTTAGGTGTTGTTTCTACGTTCAGTTCCCCACCTCTGCCACCTTGGCAATATGGGGATTTCCTAACTCCCCATCAAATTGACAGTAAATACCAGACAGCCAGATAAACTTGAATTTCAGATAAACAACACTTTTTTTCACATATAAGCATGTTCCATACACTATTTGGGACATACTAATGCTAAAAATTATTCTTTGCTCATTTGAAATTTAAATTTAACTAGTCTTTCTGTATTTTATTTTCTAAATCTGGCAATCTCAATGATTCTCCATGAAACAAATGAAAAATATGTTTTAGTGCCCCCGATTTCAAAAGATTCTTGCAAAACCCTGGGAGGAGTGTCTATTAATCTTATATTTGCAATTTTGGATCACTGAGAGAAGTGATCCAAAGAGAAGCTTTCAAATTACCCAAGCTTCTGGCAATGGAAAACCTGTATCTTCCCTAAGCCCAGTAGTATCTTTGGGTATACCTATAGTAAGTAGAAAATACGCTCTGTAGTAGATAAAAGAGAGAATCATCTGAGTGTGATCTACAGCTCATAACTTACAGATTTATTTACCATTGGACATTTAGGACAATTTCCTCAGGAAAAACAAGGTAAGAGGCTTAATAATACGTACCTATTTGTATGGATTATTCTACTCCTTCAGAAATCAACTCAAAGACTACATCCTATTATATTCTTACTGATAAAGTTGGTTGCCCAACAAATGGTGTCTTTAAAGCCAATATGCAATACTGAAGGTGGATGTCAAGCAGTGCAGCCTTTACTTGATGGCTGCAGAACTGAGAAGCAAGAACTTGGCTCACATATAAACTTTTTGACTAGTGAGGGTTGAGGGGGTTAACATACAGTTTTCTCTAACAAAGAGGTTGGGCATTTAAGGCAAGGGGAGGAATATTCATGTATTTTTCCAGAAAAGGACAGTGAGATTCTCAGAACCAGAGTGTCACCTTCTTTTTTGTCCTCTAATGACCTCTTCTGATCACTGTCATGGCGATTGTAAACTGTCATGGCACTGGTGGGAGTGCCATGTAGCATGGAAATGAGATTATAATGATGTCTGAGGGTTTTTTTTTTAAGTTGTTCAGTCAGCCATCTTGGTTCTAACCAGTCCCAGCTGGTGTGATTACAAAGGGAAATTTTATATTGCCAGTGTCCTGTTTCTTAAAGAGAAGCAGAGTTAGGGCAGTGCAGAAATTCAGCAATGTCATGTAGGCAATACAGTGGGTTACAATATTACCCTCATATTGCTTATTACAGAATGTAGAGATGCTGTATATTAGCATGTTTGATTATTTTTTTCCCAGTAGACGGTGAGTTTCATAGACCTTGTCTCCTTGTTCACTGCTCTATCTGCATTATCTAGCATAACACCTGAAATGTAGTAGGCTATCAAGTATTTGTTAAAAGCATAGATGGATTGAGAATATTTATTAGGTGCTATTTTGTGTTAGGCACCATGCTAGGATGCGGAACATCGATGTTAATAAAATTATACTCACAAAGTGTAAAATTAAGTCAAGGAGATATTAATAGTAAATAGTCTGGGATGATAGTCATAATGAACAAAAAAACTTTGGGAACACAAGTTTAAAGGGTCAGAACAATAAACAAGAATATCTTCAATTTTTATTATCTGTTGTAAGGGAAGTTGCTTGAGTTTCCCCGTGTCTAGCCCCGTGTTTGGATCCTGTAGAGATTCTAGTTTGCACATCTCTATCTTCAATTACGTTATCCATACATAACAAACACTGAAACTTAAGAGAACTTTTGACTAGTTATAATTGCTTTCTGACCACCTAAGACTAACTTTTATCTTCATTAGAAATCCTTATAAAGTCATAGACTCAGACTTTACAAATCTTCTGTCCAACTGCAATCTTAGATTAAACTGAGTAATTTAGTCTACTTAAGGGAGAAGATGTTGATTCAGACCTAAAAGCTGGAGTCTGTTAATTTACCCTTGTCCTACCATCTAGATTTATGATAGATAATTGAATCAGCCTGCCAAAATTGGTACTTGCCTTTACTTCACCCATTGTAGTCCAAATCAAATACCCTAGAATCATATTTGAAAGCACCTTATAATAGCTAGTGACTGAATGTAACAATTTCTCTATGCATGAATAAAAAGCACTTCTGTAAACAACACACTTAGCAATGGAATAAAACACGTGTTCACAAAAACAAATGTATCTATGGAATGCTTTAAACTTTGCACAGCAATAGCCAGTCAATTATTAACACAATTATTTTTTAATATTAATTCAATATATAATTTATTCATTTCTGGGGAACTATGACTGAATATATTATTTTAGAAATTATTCTAGGTACAGTACATATAAAAGGAATTACAACAACTTTACTTTGATATGAGATTTACTGGTACATGCCTTGAACCTAAGACACCTGGTACTTGATCACTTATTTGCTATTTGCTACTCTTTTTAAGTGAGGAATGTTTAGCACTATTTTAGCATTTTTTTTTCAGGCTATAAAGAAATAGATGCATCTAGTCAAACTTAAAAATAGAAATAATCAGTCATAATCCATTCCTACTGAGTGAAAGACAACTTACAACTCTCAGGATTTTGATAATGATAACTTTTAACGGGATAGGCAATGGTGTGTTGGAGCTGGCTCAAACCTGTTCATGAGCACCACTTGGAAAGTTACTTTTCATCTTCTTTTTCTTTTCTTTCTTTTTATATTGCTCTTACCTTTTTGTAAAGGAATTCTACAGTGTTAAGCTACTCCATTTAAAATTTTCTAATTTATCTGACCATTGCTTTCTCATTGAAAATGTCATGATGAATGTTTATTCCAGTAATGTTGACTTTAGCACAACCATAGTTTCCATATTGAAAAAACATAATGCTTTGACCTCCAATTTGATTACAAAAATATGTAATATATAATATATAATAATATATAATATACGATGCATTACTCCACTCTGTCTTTAAAGTTTGACATTCAAACTTCACTTTTTCTTCTTACCTCTTTTTGACACGTTGGTCATGCACTGTTAAAAAAAATAACATAAAATGTATTATGATGATACCCATAGTGCTGGAAACTGTTAATTTATAATTGTATCACTGCAATTTATAGTGAGCTGAACAGTAGTGGGAATTGACAAGAGGAACAGATGTTCTCTGTTGCAACAACTCAACACGGATATAGTGGCAAAGCAGCCATGGAAGATATGTAAACAAATGAATATATTGTGTTACCATAAAACTTTATTTATAGACATTGAAATTTGAATTGTATATAATTTTCACATGTCATCAAACATTATATTTTGTGGAATTTTTAAAAACATTTTAAAATGTAAAAACCATCCTTAGAATGGAAGCCATGCAAAAACAGGCTAAGGGTCAGATTTAGTTTGCTAACTCCTATGTAGATCCATCTGCTTTTGTGTTTCTGAGAAATGTTTAGTACTACATCAACTTTCAATTTAGTTAACTTTTTTTGATCACTTTCCACTGCAATTAATTTTAATATATTTGGAAAAGTTAGAAGCTGATCAATCTCACCATCGTAACGGTACCTGTGGTGGAGTGGAGAAGGTCTCTGTGTACTCCACTCAGAGAGTCAGAAGCCATGCATTAAAAAGTTGGTTTCATTGTGCATTAGATCATTCTTTCTGTACCCACGGATACTTTTCAAAGGAGTTCTGAGTGCACATTATATTGGTAGAAGTGTGGAAAACTAGCTAAGAATTTACTGACATATCACCTTTCCGTGGTTATCGACATTTACGCTTAACTCTCTTGGGAATCTTATGAGAGGGTGAGCTGCTTGAAAATACCAAACATATTATAAAAGGGTCTGCTTTCTCAGTGTAAATAGGTCTCTATTTCCTTAGGTAGACTGTAAAAATGCTCCAATTTCCAATCTTTCCCAGTCTTCATAACCTTTACTGTGTAGCTTAGACTATAGGCTCAATTATGTGATCTGTGTTGGTCAATGGGATGCTAGTAAGCATGATTCAGATGGAGGCTTAAAAAACGCCTGTGCAATTGGACTTCTGTGCTTTTCTATCGCCATGGAAAAAAAAAATGCTGAGTTCTCTCACTGGTCACAGGGGAAGAATAAGAATTGAGTATTAGAGCTGCTAAAATATGCCCCCAGCCAAAAGACACAATGACCTCACCATGGCTGACTGAGGTACTCAACGTTAAAACAGAAGCAGGTGGCCATATCTATGTGAGGGAGCAGTCACGCAGTCTGTGTTCTCAGGAAGATATTGTAAAAGTATCACGGGACCTCTCTTTCTACAGTCAAGCCAGATTAGTTCTGTTGTCAGTGCCAAACCGAACTGTAGCTAGAATATCCCCCACATGCCCTCCACCTCTCCGTTTGAAAGAAACATCTAAAAAAAGACTTCTGGTGGCTTGGAACCAGCCAATCAGAACTCATCTGCCCTGGCCTGTAAGGGCTAAGCTGTATGAGTGCTCAGCTGTATTGACCAATCAGAAACTTTATGCCTTCACTAATCAGAGTTAAGTGAGCTTCGGTATTTCATCTGCATCAGTGGAACTTATTGGGAACCTGGGCAGAAATTTTTGTTATAAAACCCAAATCCAGTCTTTGTTCTCTGGAGCACAACTTATTTTTACACTAAAAAGTCAGTTTGCAAATTATTAACTAGAATAAAGTCTCTTTCCTGCAAATTCCTTTTCAGAGAAGTCTTGTTCACAGAGCCAACTTGCTCGTTTCCCCAGGTGAGCCCATTTAATATCAGCCAAACACAGTTGAGATTAGCCTATTCCGACCCTCCTCACTCATGAGATATAATAATAAATAATTATTTCTTAAGTCATAAAATTTACTATAATTCTTAATATTCAGTTGCAATTGCTAGCTCATAAAACATAACTACAAATGCCTATTGGATACTTAATCTGTGCCTGAAACTATGTTTTACTTCATATAACCTTTAAACAGCTTTATGAGTTTAGTGTCATTATTCTTATCTTAGAGATGGAAAAGTGTTATAAAATACATAGCAAAAATTTGCAGAGCTAGAATTTGAACTCAGATTATCTGACTCTAGAACCTAGATTTTTACACACTATGATTTTTCATCCTCAGAAACCAGCTGAACTATACTTATTTGCCCTCATAACTAAGATTCAAGATCTTCAAGATTGTATCACTAATAACTTTAAAGATATTAGACTGTCTACATCTTTATTGGAGTGTTTTTGCTTTAAAAATAAATAGATTAATCCTCTTTCATAGATGGTCACAAAATTACCAATGGCATGTTGGGCTAATGAATATATTTAATGCACTACTTGAGCTCCTCAAGCAAATTAATCTAATATTCATTTATACTAAATTATGCCCTAAGGGCACCTGTAACCTATCATGTTTATATGATGGATATACACTGGAGAAAAGATTCTGTGCTTGGTATAAGTATAGTAAATTTTGGATAACACTAATTAACCTCTTCAATACTACTTCTAGCTCTGTATGCTTAATATATGATATATTTGTGATTTCTTTGAGGGCTGGTTATAGTCTACCTAGATAAAGTTTAAATTATTCCTCTGGTATAAATAATATATTGCTCCCACCTAGTGCAACTGAACAAAGCTATTACTAATTATTTTAAGACACTGGACAATTTATCTAAATTTTCTTTGAATCCTTCACTGTCTTGAATATATTAATTGCAAGGTGTAACTATTACTTTTAATAGCAACAATAATAATACTGTGCATTAACATTTTATGTTTGGTTTATATCATTATCATAGCTAGAGTGTCTTTCTCTTCTATGCCCACCTGTCAAAAAATCTCCAATTTTCGAGACCCAGTACAAATGTGTCAGTCTTGTTGAAACTTCCTCCAATGTCTCATTCTAGAATTTATCTCTTATTCCTTTGAATAGTTTTAGAAAGTTTCTAAGGTTCATTTGATAGTGCAAATCATATTGTATCTTATATTTTGCTAAATTTATTATATTTCTAAAGATTTGAAATCTACAGAAAATTGGAAGAATGGTATAATCAATACCTTTATACGCTTCACCTAGATTCATTAATTGTTAGTAAGTTTGCTCTATCTGTTTCCATAGACACTTTCTATTATTTTGTGCTGAATATCTAAAAGGAAATAAAAGGTGTCATGGCATTTTTCCCATAAATACTTCTGCATGCATTGCCTGGAACCAGATTATTCTCATATATAATCACAATATCATTATCATATCTCCAACATTTAGCATTGGTAAAATAATATTAACTATAATAGGGTCTTTATATATATTCGTCTATTTGTACCAATAGTGTCATTTATATCTGCATCTGCTGCCCTCAGGATATAATTAAGATTTATACAATGAATTTATTGTTATGTTTCTTTGGTTCCATTTTTCTGCAATGGTACCCTCAAATTTTTGCCTTATCTAAGATACACATACATAATATGTGCATGTATATGTGTATGTCTCTCTATATATATTATATTCATATATATATTCATATATATATTCATATATATAGGAATCTAGGTTATTTTACTCATAAGATTCAAGTTAGACTTAGTTAGACATTTAGTAATAAAACTTCTAGCTAATTTATTACACTAGCAGACATACAATCTTAGTATTTTCATCATCATTTAGCAAATTCTGATCATTTGGCTAAATGCTATCCAACAAGCCTGTCAAGTATGTATAACTTCTTTCACTTAAGAAATTTGTGAGGTGGTGATTTGAAATTATGTACTATTCTATGTCCTAATATCTTTCACCCAATTATTTTGTGTACATTGATGATCTTGCTTGAATAAGTTATACACTTGAGAATAAATCAATTCCTGTTGTCCACCTTACAAACTCCAGATAGTGGTCAAAATGTAGCCCCAGGAGCATCAGTATCAACATCACCAGGGAACATGTAAAAAATTCGAATTCTCATGCCATACCTCAGACCTACTCAGAGATTCTGGGGGGTGGAGACTAGAAATATCTGCTTTAACAAGTAAGTCTTTCTAGTGTTTCTCATGTGCAATAAACTTTGGGAAATAATGCTCTAAATCTAATTCTGTGCTAGAAGTTTTCATGGCCACCATCTGTGTATAGGTATAACTTGACAACTCCTTAGATTGGCTGCATCTGAAACTTTTAACTTTCTGCTTAGGACCTTTCTGCCTCTATGTGGGATGCTTGCTCTCTCATCCACAAACCTGGAAGTACAAGGAAGTTAATAACTCATGGGACAGCTTTTGAACAATGAGGAACAGTAAAGCAGTAGATAACTGTTCCCCTCTTTAGTACCTTAATGGTACAATTCACCAGTGCATTTTTCATAATTCTTCAGATAGTCATTACAAAACAGCCTCTATTGGCAATAGTGAGTATCTGTTCAGTAATGTACCCTTGCATTTGTTTTCTTTTTTCTTTATACTTTTTCCAGATCCCTATTTCTCTTCCCTGGAATTACTTTCCAATATAATCCACTTTCATAAATGCTATTGTTTCTAGCTCTGCTTTCTTTGTATAACAAAATTTGAGAGATTTAGAATCAGAAGAGGCACTGAGAATCCCATTCTGTGTTGGTATACTAGAACTGAATCATTCTTCCACTAGAAAATGATACAAAGGCCCAGACTACTATGGAAATTAGGGAGATGATCACCCTGGAATGCAGTAGAATCACAATTATTAATATTGTACTTGGAAGTGATTTAGTCTTAAAGGCATGTATAAGTTGAAGTACAGGTTTATGTGGTATTGGGACGTTTGAAAGGAATAGGGGTCAAAGTAATTATACTGTTGGGGATTTAGATGATTTTTTTTTTCCTTAATAGCTTAAAAACCTTGAAAGAAGAAAAGAACCCATTTAGATTATAGAACTTAAAATTCAAGGCATACTGTAAAAGTCAAAAGGCCTCCACAGCAGTGTTTAAAGACATTATATTCTACAGGGTTAACTAGGCTGAAAATTAAACCTAGGAATTAATTGTAAGGGTAGTGAAGTTACAGAGGCTACTGCATGCATAGCATTTACAAGCCTCTGTGTTTAATTCAGGTTCCTGACAGGAAAAGATTAGGACTCAGACCTGTCTAGCAAGAGGATATTTGAGTTATAACCCTGAGATTCAGAACTGATGTTTTGCCTTGAATCTGAGCTGATACAGATTCCATCCCATGGAGAGAGGAGGAGCCACTCCCATCACATACACTTACCTTGTCTAGAGGTGCTGAAAGGGCTCACAGGTTGATGCTTCCTTCCCTCAAGATTGTCCTCTGCTTCTATTCATTGCCTCCAGACCAATAACTAGGGTCATGTCATAACACAGCCTGAGGAATAATGCCATTCAATTTGTGGGAGAAAATAGTATGTATACCCAGTGAGTTATAACACTTGCCCAATATGTCCCGGGTAGCACCATAGATGGGAATTGATCCCGAAGGTATGGGAGAAGAAAATGTAGAATATAAAGCTGGATAGAGAAAAGTTTATTGATTGTTTATGACTCAAGATTTTATGTACTGGCATGAACTAGGAGCTGGTCTTAGTACAAGAATGTCCAGTTAAAGCTGCCATGTGATGATGGCTTGTGGTAAATAAAAGAGATACCAGAATTGCCTTTGCAGTCAATTATGGAAGGAGTAGAATTACTTGACTTGTATTACCAGAAAATGTCTAGAGTTGGAGAGTTAAGAGATGATGTCTTTTGATATAGTAGAAAATTAAAATTATTCATCAAGTTTTCAGATACGCCTGAGTTTTATTTTCTATCTATATTTTTAAATTAATTAATTAATTAATTAATTTACTTATTTCTTTTTTGAGACAGAGTCTTGCTCTGTCACCCAGGCTGGAGTGCAGTGGTGCGATCTCGGCTCACTGCAAGCTCCGCCTCCGGGGTTCACGCCATTCTCCTGCCTCAGCCTCCCGAGTAGCTGGGACTACAGGCGCCCGCCACCACACCCGGCTAATTTTTTGTATTTTTAGTAGAGACGGGGTTTCACCGAGTTAGCCAGGATGTTCTCGATCTCCTGACCTCGTGGTCCGCCCGCCTCGGCCTCCCAAAGTGCTCGGATTACAGGCTTGAGCTAGCGCTCCCGGCCCATGAGTGAGTTTTTAGGACAACAGTTCATTGATTAATGTGAAGATAAGTCTCTTTGAACAATGACTGTAGAATGGCTACATAAGTATATAATAAATATTTTATTAATATTTTGTACTGAAACCCGTGGCCAATTGACAAATTTTACTTTGGGGAAAGGAACATATTCGGACATATCTCAGGCATAGACTGTATCAGAGGATATATAAGGCTACCATAGTTCTCATCTTAGAGTGGGAGAGAAGAGTCTAAATGTTAAATACAGTTCTGTCTCAATTTATCTCACAGCCAGTTCACAGTATTCACTGTGAACCCAACGCATGTGGACCCAACGCATAACCATTTATGTAGCCTCTAGTGCATAATTAGTACGCATAGCAATAGGAATTGAAATAACTCATAAAAAAACCCATTATGTTAAGGATTAGGGGAAACTCTTGAGTATGCCCACTTCTCCATCCAAGATGGTAAATCAGAAGAAATATGTCATCTTGGGAGATGATATCAAATACTTAAAAGATACAGAAGTGGTGGTCCTATCTTAACTCCGTTTAATTGCTCTCTCTGGTGCCTGATTAAAGAAAGAAAAAAAAAAAACATAAAGAAAAACAGGACACAAGTCAAAGATTGCTAAAGATTGCTGGCAAGCACCAGAAGCCAGAGACGCAAGGAAGGATCCTTCTCCAGAGCCATGCATTAGAAAGAGCCTGCTTCTGCGGACACTTTGATTTCAGACTTTTAGTCTCCAGAACAATGAAGCAATAAATTCTGTTGTTTTAAGTCACTAAGTTTTTGCTACTTTTTTTTCTTATGGCAGCCTTAAGGAACTACAACCCTAATGCATTATATCATGGACTATTATGCATATACTTGTATTATAAAATAGTTTACATGTCTTTATGTGCTTTAAACTGCTTAATATGTAAGCTTGTAGACAGTTTCTAATTGTTTGAGTGTTCAAATACACATCATTCATTATTGAAAAACAGGAAGATAACAGGGATGTTCAATTTTTTCCCCTATAGTACCATTGGTAATATGATCCACACTTTCACTGCAAGTCCAGAAAATGTAATAATTAAATTGAGGAAAGAACTGATGAAATTAAAAACCAGACTTCCTGATATTGTTTGGCTGTGTCCCTACCCAAACCTCATCTTGAATTGTAGTTCCCATAATCCCCATGTGTTGTGTGAGGGACCCGGTGGGAGGTAATTGAATCATGGGTGCGGTTCCCCCCATGCTGTTCCACTGATAGTGAGTGACTTCTCAGGAGGTCTGGTGGTTTTATAAGCATCTGGCATTTCCCCTGCTGGCACCTCTCTCTGCTGCCCTGTGAAGGATATGTTTGCTTCACCCTCCACCACGATTATAAATTCCTTGAGGCCTCCCCAGCCATGTGGAACTGTGAGTCAATTAAACCCCTTTCCTTTATAAATTACCCAGTCTTCGGTATCTCTTCATAGCAGCGTGAGAACGGACTAATACACTTCCTATGTAACATGTATGTAGTGAAGCAAATAATGACAGGCTAATTGATGTTACAGACAACACAAATTAATAAGATTTTTTTTTTTTATTTTTTGAGACAAAGTCTCTTTCGGTAGACCAGGCTGGAGTGCACTGGCGTGATCTCTCTCACTGCTACCTCCGCCTCCCTGGTCCCGGTTCAAGGTTCAAGCAATTCTCCTGCCTCAGCCTCCCGAGTAGCTGGGATTATAGGCACGCACCACCATGCCCAGCTAATTTTTATATTTTTAGTAGAAATGGGGTTTCACCATGTTGGCCATGCTGGTCTTGAACTCCTGACCTCGTGATCCACCTGCCTCGGCCTCCCAAAGTGCTGGGATTACAGGCAGGAGCCACCACGCCAAGCCAGGTATTTTTAATATACATTGAAAGTTTATAATAATTAACAACTTTTAATAAAGTATCGTTTATGCAGGTTGTTTTTGTCATTTTTCTGGTTGTTTAGGGGTTTTGTTTGTTTATAGTCCAACTGTAGATAAGCCACAGACCCTTTATCTGCTGATGTCTTGTAAATCCCATTATTTTAATCTTATGATGCAGGTACATTTATGTTAATCAAAATGAGTTAGCTAATTTAGATGTGTATTTCTTGCTAACATAGTATATTAAGCATGGAATTTGAAGTGGCAAATGATAACTTTCATTTTGCAGTATTAGATGTCACCCCAATTTTTGATAATTAATTAAATTTGTTCTAGCCATTAAAAAAATAAATTGAATTTGTACCGTTTTCCTACCCCATGTATGTTTGTTCCTATTAGGCTATATTGATTGTATAAATTTTGAGAACATTTAAAAATATTCTTTTGTCTAACATTTTCTACTATAAATCCAACTTTTAAATTTTATTTTTAATTGTGGTAACAAATAAATAGCATTAAATTTACCAGCTGAAATATCTTTAGGTTTACAGTTCAATACTGTTTGGTATATTTATATTGCTGTTCAACAGATTTCAAGCACTTATTTTTCATTTTACAAAGCTAAAACTGTGTTATACCCATTAAACACTCACTCGCCTACCCTCTTCCCCTTCCTCCAGCTGTTGGCTTCCATCCTTCTATTTTTTTGCTTCCATGATTTTGTCTACTTAGATGCTTTATATGAGTGGAATTATATAGTATGTATCATTTTGTGATAGGCTTATTTTAATTAGTCTAATCTCCTGGAGATTTAACCATGTTGTTGCATGTAACAGGGTTTCCTTCCTTTTAATGGGTGCATAATATCCCAGGATATGCAAATATGTTTTATTTATTTTTAGATCTAATTTTTAAAGGGTCATTTTCATTACATATTATGCTGCTGTTTTAAAATCCAGGAATCTTATTTAGGGTTTCTAGTGGATGTTTTAATGAAATTTCTTCCAGACTCCCTATACTCATTTACACAATTTTATTATAAATGGTTTTATTTTCCTTAACTATCAATTTCACATTGTTAGCTTAGATATCAGTGAAGTATAAGATACCAAGTCCTAAATTGTCCTCCAATCCCTCTAAAATACCAAGGAGTAGCAAAGCAGCAATGTTTTTTTTTTTTAAGTTAGAAAATAAAATTTCTCAAATCAGTGCTAATCTAAAAGTTGGCAAACAAAACCCTGCATTTGCAAGGGGTAGGTGGTGGACCATACAAGTATTAGTTAAACAATGAGTCAGGCAGCAGTTGTATGGGGAGAGGGTGTTCACAAACAAGTGTTTAAAATACTCTAAAATGTATTCATTCAAGCCATCCTTAATAGCTTTCCTACCTCAAACCTCAATCCTCATCTGTAAAGTGCTGTATCTGTTCTGCTATATTTGTTTGGTTCTATCACATTGAGTCATCTTTGTTAAAATGCTCAAACCTTTTCTTCTAATTGCTACTTTCCTCTTAAGTGAATACATTGCTTATTTTCTACTCCTCAGATCATACAGCTCAATTTTCCTTCCTTTACATACTCCCCCCACCCTCTCTCTCTCTGTATATATACATATGTACATATGTATATATACATATATACATATGTACATATATATATACACACACATGTATACACACATATGTATATTAATTAATTAGAACTTTATCTTGAATTCTTATATGGATTTAGTATTGGTAAGCAACACTAAGTCTTAGATGAGAAGCAACAAACTTAAGATTTAAGGCATAATCTAAAAATAGAACAGCATTTTGCTCTTCTCTATCTTTTTTTTGAGGAAATCTCTAACATTTGAACTGAGAAACAGAATAAATTTTCTGGTTCTGCAGTACCAACTGAGGAGTTGGACTTCCTGCCTTTTCAAAATCAGGCTCCTCATTTACTGGCTCTATAACATATTTAGGCCTCAATTTCCCTATCTGTGTAAAAGACATAATTATGGTATATAATAGTGTTGTATGAATTAGATAAGATAATGTTAGGAACCTCAGAACAGTACCCGTCACAAACTAAAACCCCCAAAATATGAGCTACTCATTATTAGTAGTAGTAGTAATACATTTTTTTCTTAATTATTTAAACAATATAATTTGTCTGTAAATGCATATGTGCAAACTGAATATTTGAAACAACATTTTCTATACTTGCTTATGGAATGGTTTTACAATCAGACCACACAATATAAAAGAGGTATTGTATTATAAACTTCCACATAGATATATGGTTTTATTGTATTATTATCATTATCATACAAGAATATAGACAGAATGGCTTATGCATTTGTTAGGCAGTGCATTTTGTACTTTTTCCCTTCAGAGTTGCCTTCAGTATTCTTTTGAGAGTAATCTTTTCTCATGAAAATCTTCAGGAGCAAAGGAGAAGGCAGTGTAATTTGTTCTTGATCCCTTGGGCTCTAAGAAAGCTCTCCAAGGAATGTAGAGATAAAAATTGAAATTTTCTCAGATTCTTCCGCACCCTTGTTTTACTTCTACTTTAAAATGCTTATAAGTATATCCTAAAGTCTAGATAAGTATATCACAGTGAGTGATAATTCAAGCTTTTGATATTTTCGTGTGAAATATATGCGAGATATATGCTTTGGACAGCAGGAATATATGGCTTAATATTTATTCATATTTCCGAAATCCTGAGCAAGGGTTAAAAGATATCGTGGACACGTCAGTGTTTGATAAATTATCATTGGACTACTCTTGTTAACTTAATGACATCAAGTCATAATTAAAAATGGTTGCTGAATGATAAATATTTAATTATCAAGTAAACTCTTCCTGTTAAGCTCACTAATACTGAACATATAGCATAACTTCTCAAGATCCTCATGTTCTTATATAAAAAGTAAGAGCAATGAAATAATGAAATATATACCTTCTGAGTTTTATTCATTATGTATGATTTTATCCAAAACCAAAATAAACATTTTAGGCAGAAATATACCTTTCTTTGCTTTTTTAAATTTTAAAAATATTGACTTTCTGTTACCTTTTGTAAGAAATATTTTATTAATAATTTTAAAAATATGCAATGATACCCTTGTTACTATTTCATGGTTTTCTTAGCATTATGAACATTCCTCTATCTGCTCCTCATCCGCACACTCACATCCACTTATTTGCAAGCATCATTAGCAATAAGCCACTATACCAAGATATGCTGGTGCTGTTCTTAAAGGGGTAAGAAGAGCAAAATGTACCCATTGTGCTAAGATGCTTTTATATTAAGGATCTGCTTTTGTAGCTAAGCTGCATACTCTTCCATGTTCTATACTATCTTTTGGTTTAATGTGAAACTTCTGGTTTGCTTACCAGTGAAATTTGCTCTACCTTTGCTGAATAGCCTGTCTGTGACTGGGGGAGAGGAAAAGATAACATAACTTTGCTCGTCTAATCTTACCTGGTTCTCTCTAATTTTTTTTTTTTTTTTTTTTTTTTGCAAAAGGTCAATGCTTATTTGGCTTCTGCTTCTCCCTTCCCTGGCATCTAGTGAAAATAGTTGCAGGTTCTGGCAGCCGATGAACACAGGCTCCAATCCCAGTTCTGCTACTTACAAGCTGTGTGCCATTTGGCAAGTCCCTTAAAATATCTGGCCCTTAATTTACTCCTTTATTAAGTAATTATAGCAATTCCAAAATACCCAGAATTGCTGTGAGGATTTTATTATATACTAAACATGAAATCCTGTATACCTGGTGGGTAGTTAACAAATATCAAGACAGAAAAGAGGAAGGTACCTTTTTTTCTAGTCCGATATTTTTGGCAAATTCTCTTAGTCACTACAATCCTGCAAGTTACAGGCCATTAAACTTTTGTTAGTTGTTTATGTAAAACTTAAAAGACATATGTATACTAGACCAAGAACTCAGTGATGAATCAATTGTGGAACTGGTAATCAGTTTCTAATTGATCTGTCTGTGTAAGTTTAGGTATTTTAAGTCTAAGTAAATACGATTTTAAGTGTACACAAATCTTACCACCATACAATTATGCCACAAAACACAGGAATGAAATCTTAATGGCAATCACATTGTGTAAAATAATTCTGATTATTCAAATTAGAACTTAAAATTTCCAACTAAAATAGCTTTCTAAGCAGCCTTTATTCCCTGATTTAGTACCAACACTCCATTACTATATGGTGTTAACATAAGAGAACTCATAGGCTTATGAAAGCCAGTTGGCCAGTTTCACTCCCACCCCTTTACATACACACACACTCACACACACACATGCACGCACACACACACACTGTCCTAACAATTGAGTTCTCAGTAATGAATCCTTGTCAGCTAGCTCATTCAAGGCAATCACAAAGGGCAACAAGAGCAATACCTTTGGACCACACATTGTGGCTCTCAAGGATTTCATGCCATGTTGAGGTTGACCACTGGGTGTTTGTTTAGCATGCTAACCCTTCCAGTTACCATGTCTGATAATGTAAACATGGCTTTCTATCATTTTAAAAACAATTATCAACCTATAAAATTATCGGAAGATTACTTTTTAAAAAATCTACCAAAATTAAACTGATAAGATTTTATTCAAATTATTGCTTAGAGTCTGCTGCATTTCAGATGTGGTTGATGTGTTCTGTGCAGAAGTGCGTGTTGTAGTTACATCATTTAATCGATATTAATCAGGCAAAGAAAGACCAAGAAAAGAAATTATAGGACGTCTTATGCTGAAGAAGTAATGCAATTTTAAAATACTGAACTAGGCTGACATCTGGAGTTGTCTGTTGATTAATCATTTACCTCAGCAAAATAGTTCAGATTTGTATATATGGTTCAGATATACATATCCTATGAGACATTATCACTTATCAGATTTGAAAGCTGAATAACAACCTAAGGGGAAAATAACTCTAAAGAAAAATAGATTTGTAGAGACTTGGAACCTTCAGGGTATGAAAAATCGCCTCTAGAGAATTTGTAAACAATGTATAAGGACATTTCCAAATGTAGATAGACTATAGAAGTATACTCAATACAAAAATGAGGGTTATATTTATTTTTCAGGAATAATATTCTGGATTTCCTAAAATAAAAAAAGCAAATATAACAGAAAATGAAGACAGTGATGTTTTAAAGTTTATTTTGGGAAATCCTAGTATTTAAATAAATACAGAAATGACACCATGAATAACATTCTCACCACTATATGACTAGAAGAAAAAAAATGAATTACTTCCAAAGTGCAAAAGATGATATTGCCTAATAACATCCACTCACTTTAAATATTTTGAATGTCACCATGTTAGATAGTACTGAATGGTTATTTCAAAAAGTCAGCTCTCTCATCTCTTCCTTACCTCCGCTATGAGAAATGGAAAAGCTAAGTCTGCATATTGCCAATCACCATGTTTAGCTAGAAATTGCCACGTAACTCCTGTTATGTTATAACATGAACTTTCTGGTAAAAGAAAGATTCTTCCTGTTTTAAATGAGGACATAATACCTGTTAAAATCTTTTTGTGACCATGAGAGATAACTGGATCACCTGAAATACTGACCTTTTGAGCTAACATTAGTTGCTACCTCACTTCAGTTTCCCTAGTATATAAGAGTAATAATCCTTTATTAAAAAAAGTGTTAGTCTGGTTTTCTATTATTTACTGCTGAAATATTTCTGGTTTCTGGGTCTAGTTATATATATATATATATGTATACAGATAAATATGTGGTATATATGTAGGTATATATGTGTATAAATATATATATATGCATTCACTGTGATAAATATGTATTACCAATTTTGAACACCTTATTTTTGTAATAAACATAAATTGCAACCCCATCCTACTTGAATTGTCAAGTTGGTGCAAGAAAATGTTTTCAAAACTCTCCAAGGAACCCTAGTGATCCCTACAAAACAGAGCGTTGCAGGTATGTAGAAAGATTAGGTAGAATATTATAGGTTATTCCAGTTTCAACTAGAATGGTTCTATTTTGTAGGCTTCCAAGTTAGTATTCTTTCTAGAATAAAAAATAATGATATGATATGGCTAAAATATTTCTGAAAACCACTGATGGAATAAAGAGTAAATATTAGATTACGGGTTGAAAATCCTGAGTTCCTGCCCCACTTCCATTTTGTGATTTCTTAGCCAAATTGCCTCTAATGAAACAACTTTTAAATCTTTAAATGCACAGATACACTCTATGTCCATTCATGGGCATGTTTATTTGTACATTTAAATATAAAAATTTTCTGAATCTCACAGAAAGTTTTATGACAAAGACTCACAAACTTTTAAGCTCTGTTTTTGTAAATGTTTATCTGGAGGTGTTGTGCAGGTATATAAGGATCTAAAAGGGTGAATTGCCTAATATTTCTAATACATAATTAATCATCTAAGTAGAATTGCAGACAAATTGAAATGTCAGTAGGTGAATCTTTGCACCTACCTCACATATAAAGGAAGAAAATTGCAATATAGTGGTTGAATTGCCATCTAAAAGGGAGAATACTATAGTTAATTTGACAAAATAATACTTTCTGTATATGTTTGTTTTAATAAATGTTATATACTTTTATCTTCATATGATACTGGTATCCTTAGATAACCTCTATAAAGTAGAAGTAAAAAATAGAAAAAAACATTAAAAACGATTCATGAATGTATATAAAAATAATAAAAAGTCATTCATTTGAATACTAAAAATATCCAGTTTTCTCTTATACACTTTACATGAACCTTAAAAGGGTGTGAAATTCAAAACAGTCTTTCTCATGTAATTAGTTTAAAAAGTCTTCTTTAAATTACTTCATGTCAATTTTAAACTAAAATTAGTTTGAAAACTGTAGGAAGATATAAAATTACCATAGTAACTCGAAATTGAAAAATGAGATCTTTAGCAAAGAAGAATTTTATTTCTCCAGAAAAAAAAAAGAATATGTTTTCTCAAGGTTGAATAATACTTACACGATTACCACTAATTCTCATATCATAGTAGGAAATGGGTTAAAGTAGCAGCGCCTAATATTTGTTCATTCCATGCCAAGATCTCCAATGTTGGCGGTGGTACCCAGTTTTGTCAAAATAACTCACATTGGAATCATGATGGAAAGAATAATTTTATCTCTGAAATGATTCCTATAATGTGCATCTCACTATATGGGAAAGTACCAAATTTGGAGCTTGAAAAGAAAATGAAAATAATTAGGTGCAACCCATTTAAAATTCCTCTATGCATTCTTTGTTTCTTCTTCAAGTGCTTGTGCCAATCCCGATAATGGCTCTACTCCCTTACAATTTCAATTACGGTTTGTGGGTTTTAAAATTATTTATTTATTTTTTATTATTCTTTAGTCTCCTGTCCTGATATTTACCCATTGTCACTAGCTATGACCTTCCCTGACAGACTTTTCTTTTTAACACAATTCTATTAATATGGATCCTGTTTTCTTCCTTTTCTTTTTTCTCTCTTCCTAACTGTTCCTCTGCTTTTTCCTCCTCCTCCTCTTTCTTCTTTTCCCTTAATACTGTATGACAATGAAATTCTCTCATTAGTCAAATTTATTTTAATTATAGTTTTTCTGCTACTACTAATGATGTCTTTCCTTTGCAATAGCCACAACAGTCAGCTTTTCATTATTATGAAATGACATGTTCTTAAAGAGTTTTCATTTGACCTTTCTTTTGTATTCTGGCATCTTCTCCTACCAGGGATACATCCATCTAATCAGCAAAGTTAATCAAGTATTACAGTGATCTCTGGTCGTGGTGACAATCAACTATTATTTTGTTGGCACTTATAGGTCTTTTCAAATGTCATTCAATTACAACTCTCTGAACTTCTAGAAGTTATATTTCTGGCAACATCACGGTTCTTGAAGGCAACATTCAATCACTTTATTAGAAATATGCGAATAATTATTAGTATGCATAATGCTTATTTTGATTTGGCATCTGCAAAATTCTTTATGACAATTATCTCATTCTCTCCTCAAAACAACATTTTGCTTAAATAAGGTACCACTAAGGAGTTTTTTGAAAGACCATTATTATTTCGGGGTAGCAAATCTGTGTAACTCCACATTCCCCAGTGATTCTAACCATTATTTCTTTCTCTATTGCCCTACAGGTAACCAATAATCCACTGGCAGCCCTAGGCTTCAAGACTTCATGTTCCTTAAGTGAGCAGTGGGGACACATTATATCTTCTGAGTGCTGTCATAACTGGAAGATTTCTATAAAAGATTTCTCTTCACATATTTTTCTAAAAAGCATATGTGTTTTTGCTCTTAAAAAAATGATCTCAATATCCAGTAGATATCCAGGGTAGATTTACTATAGCATGGTGGATATACTTTACGTAGTTGTTAGCATAAATGAAAATAATTTTATTATATTATTTAATTCCTTCTCTAATGTTATATTTAATATGATCAAAATTTTACATAAACAAAATTGCCTTTTTGATCCTCTCTGTACTTGCTCCTGATTTCAACAAACCTTACCTTTATTTTAATTTTTTAATATTTACATTCTGTTCCATAAGCATAAATCCATAATGCTTTGAGTAAAAATTAATGCTCAAAATTGAAAATAATAACAAGGAGAATAAAGCTTTTATTATAATACTGCAAATATATTAAGAGCTCAATACTTAGCTGTTACATTTGTTTTACTGAAAAATATTGTCCCTAGTATATGGAATTTCTAATAAATTATAAGAAGCAGGTTAAAATTTCATATTTTTCTGAAGATTCTGAATACTTTTGTTTATTTAATTGCAGAGAGAAGCATCAAGCCGGTTTTCCATTATTTCCCCACTTTGTCTACTGAATAACACCCACTCAACTTACTTTTAAATATTTTGAAACTGTTTGATGGCCTTTGGACCAAATACTTTCTGAGTCAACTGCTCATCTAGTATTTTGGTGGGTATGTCCTCACACCTTTTTGTATACCACATGTTTCTATTTGTTAATTTCTACTTATTCCTGGTTGAGTCACCTTCTCAAAATGTTGAGTAGGAGGGGAACATGTGTGTCCTTGCATGTCTGAAAATGATTTCACTTTGTTTTTATGCTTGATTAATAATTGGTTCGAAAAGTTCAAGGCTCAAAATAGGTTTTCCTAAAAAAATGTAAAGAATTTTCGTGTCCATGGCATTTCATAAGAAATACACTTGATGGAATAATTTTCCATTCAAAATTAAATTGTGGTTAAATGTGGATGAGAGGTCAGGGGCTCCCTTTCGACTAGCTCCACTCATAGAGTTGAGGCTCTATCAAAGGTGTGTTATGCCAAAAAACTGTGTCCTGTGTCCTGGATCACCTTTCCAGCTCACTCATAAAGTAAAGTTTCCACACCAGCAGAAGCAAGGTAAGGAGACTCATACCTACCACTCTGACCCAACAACATAATCATAAGGCATATGTATCACTCTAACGTAAGTAGGTCACTGTCCGTGTTCCTAGCCTTTGTGCAATGGCTCAGAGGAATTTTCCTAGGTAGAGAAGCAGACATAAAGAATGAGGACTCTAAGACTCTCTTTAAAGAAACTTTATTTGGAACAGATGATGGGAAAGGTCAAGACAAAGGGTACATTAGAAAAGAAGGTGATTTACAGGGTAGCAAGAAGAGGCTGATAACCTTATAAAAGCAATAAGCTAAGCCATAGGGCAGCTAGTTTACCAGAGACAACTAAGGAAAAAGCTAAAAATAACATCATAGACAAAACAAAACCCAGTTATTGACCTCAAAACTGTCTCTGAACATGAGCCAGGATTTAATTGTGGAGTAACGTAATTGAGTAAAATTTGGAACATTTTATGTCCCAGAGCATTGTCAATAAAATAATAATAATAAAGCAAAGAGCTGGAAGTGGTGAAGACTTACTCTTGAGTATGATACCAATGAAGGCAGATAGCTAACCAGATAAATCACAGAAAAGACAAATAGATCCCTGCTAAAACCACTGTCATTCTGGGGTAATTGTGTATATAGTTGAAGCAGTGTTCACTGAAACACAATATCTGAGGCATCACTTTCAGAAAAAAAGACAACTAAAATTGTTCAGTTAAGTCAGTAAAGAAATAAACAAGCAAACAACAGCAAAAAGTTCTGGTGCAATAGGTATCAGGAATTGCTGTAATATAGTATTTAAAATGTAGTTTCAATAAAAAAAATGTAAGATATACAAAGGAATAGATAACTGACCTATGCAATAAAAAGCAGACAAGAGAAATAACCTGTGAAAGAGTCCAGATGTAGAATTTAAAACACAAGGTCTTCAATACAGCTAGTAAAAATACGTTCAAAGAACTAAAAGAAAGCATGCTTAAAGAAATACAGGAATGTATGATGACAATTTCTCATCAAATAAAGCCTATATATAAAATGATAGAAATTAGAAAAAGGAGCCAAATGGAGATTCTGGAGTTGCAAAATATAATGACTGAAAGAAAAACCATAGTAGAGAAATTCAATGATAGATTTGATGTAGAAAGTTAAAAGACCAGCAAACTTGAATATGGATCAACAAAATTATGCAATCTAAAAAACAGCATAAAATGAATAAGAAATAAATACACAGAGTCTCAAAGAAATGGGGGGGGGGGTAACATTAAATACCTTAACATACATATAAAAGGATTACCAAGAAAAAAAGGAAAGAAAGAAACATGGAGAAAAAAAATCAAAGAAATAATGCTTGAAAATTTCCCAAGTTTGCTGAGAAATATTAATAAAAATGATCAAAAAGCTCAATGAATTTAAGGTAGAATAAACTCAAAGATTAATGCTCAGAATATCACAGTAAAATTGTTGTATGCCAAAGACAAAGAAAACCTTGCAAGAAATAAGAGTAAAGTGACTCATTGTGCACAGGAGAGCCACAATAAGACTAATAGCTGACTTCTCATGAAAAAGAAAGGAGGCCAGAATGCAGTGGGATAATATATTCAAAATGCTGACACAAAAAACCAACAAAGTCAATCAATAATCTCATGTCCATCAAATCTAACTTTCAAAACTGAAGAAAAAAATAAAGAACTCTCCAGATAAACAAAATCGCATTACATTCCCACTGCCAACATCGGGGATTACATTTCAAATGTAATGGGAAGTGGTGGGAAGTGTTTGGGTCATGAGAGCAGAATCCCCATGAATGGCTCAGTGCTTTCCTCCTGATAACGAGCCAGTTTTTGAATGAAACTGGGCTCCTTATATACAACATACACAAAAATTACCATAAAGTAGATCATAGACTTAAATGTAAGTCTAAAAATAAACAAATTTTAGTAAAAAATAAGGGATTAAACCTTCATGACTTTGGATTAAGCAAAGCTTTCTTATATATCACAACAAAATCACAAATAACAAATAATAGATAAATTTGATATCAAAATTTGTTTTGCGTTTTAAGGAATACCATCAAGAGTAAAAAGAAAACATCCAAAATGAAAGAAAATACTTGCAAATCATATATATAAAATAAAGGACTTATATCTAAAACATGTAAGAACTATTACAACTCAATAATAGTACGACAACTAACCAAAGTAAAAATTGGCAATGCATCTGAGTAGACATGTTTTTCCCAAAGAAGATATAAAAGTAGCCATTAAACACACAAAAAATACTCTCAAGATTGTTGGCCATCAGGCAAAAGCAAATCAGAACCACAATGAGATAACGCTTCACATCCACTGGGATAGCTAAAATCAAAAAGAAACTGAAAAAATAGACTCAAGATCGATTAAACACTTAAACTAAGACCTAAAACCATAAAAACCCTAGAAGAAAACCTAGGCAATATAATTCAGGGCATAGGCATGGGCAAAGACTTCATGACTAAAACACCAAAAGCAATGGCAACAAAAGCTAAACCTGATAAATGGGATCTAATTAAACTAAAAAGCTTCTGCACAGCAAAAGAATTATCATCGGAGTGAACAGGCAACCTACAGAATGGAAGAAAATTTTTGCAATCTATCCATCTTACAAAGGGCTAATATCCAGAATCTACAAAGAACTTAAACAAATTTCCAAGAAAACAAACAAACAAACAACCACATCAAAAAGTGGGTGAAAGATATAAACAGTCACTTCTCAAAAGAAGACATTTATGAGGCCAAGAAACATATGAAAAAAAGCTCATCCTCACTGTCGTTAGAGAAATGCAAATCAAAAACATGATGGGATACCATCTCACACCAGTTAGAATGGAGACCACTAAAAAGCCACGAAACAACAGATGCTGGAGAGGATGTGGAGAAATATGAACACTTTTACACTGTTGGTGGGAGTGTAAACTAGTTCAACCATTGTGGAAGACAGTGTGGTGATTCCTCAATAATCTAGAAACAGAAATACCATTTGACCCAGCAATTCCATTACTGAGTATATACTCAAATGATTATAAATCATTCTAATATAAAGACAGATGCACATGTATGTTTATTGCAGCACAGTTCACAATAGCAAAGACTTGGAACTAACCCACTTGCCCATCAATGATAGACTGGAAAACGAAAATGTGGCACATACACACCATGGAATACTATGCAGCCATAAAAAAGGCTGAGTTCATGTCCTTTGCAGGGACATGCATGAATCTGGAAACTATCATTCTCAGCAAACTAACACAGGAACAGAAAACCAAACACCAGATGTTCTCACTCATAAGTGGGAGGTGAACAGTGAGAACACACGGACACAGGGAGGGGAACATCACACACTGGGGCCTGTCAGGGGGTGGGGATATGGAGGGGGATAGCATTAGGATAAATACCTAATGTAGATTATGGGTTCATAGGTGCAGCAAACCACCATGGCATGGGTATACTTATGTCAACAAACCTGCACGTTCTGCACATGTATCACAGAATTTAAAGTATAACAACTACAGCAAAAAAAAAAGAAACTGAGTATCAAATGTTGATAAGGATGTGGAGAAATGGGAACCATTTTTGATCAAAATGTAGCATTATGCAATCACCTTGGAAAATAGTCTAGCAGCTTCTCAAAATGGTACACATAGAGGAACTAAGTGACAGAAATTGTATTGGTATTGAAACCATCATTGTACAAATTTTAATTGAGACAGTAAAAAAGATCTGAACTAACCAATTCCATGTTGCTTCTAACTTCCAAGCTGTCATTGTTCATTCCTGTGCACAGGCCAAAGTGGCTTTAGGAGGGACTTAGTTTATAGTCTATAGTTTGACGCAAAGACTTAACAGTCCTTTCCCAAAACAAACCCCCTTCTTGCCGGGGACTAGACTGCCTTTCCAAGACTAACAAATTAGTCACAGAGTGAGAAATTATGGTTGAGGAATCATGCAGCTGGAGGCTACAAGATTCTAAACCTCTCCAGATTGCTCCCAGGGATAATATCACTACTATAAAACCTACGATCACTGTGTGACATATTTTATAGACCATGCTCTCAGTGGATAAGCTGGTACCACCCCGATCTATAAACTGGCTCATGTGGTCTTGTGGCCTGCACCCAGGAACTGACTCAGGACAAGAGGACAGCTTCAACTCCCTATAATTCATCTCCAACCTGACCAATCAAAATTCCCAGTTCACTGGCCCCCTACCCACCAAATTATCTTTAAAAACTCCAGTCCCCAAATTCTTTGGGAGACTGATTTGAGTAATAATAAAACTCCAGTTTCCTGTACAGTTAGTTCTGTGTGAATTTAAACTCTTTATCTACTACAATTCCCCTGTCCTGATAAATCGGCTCTGTCTATGAAGCTGGCAAGGTGAAACCTTTGGGCGATTACACCATGGACACATTCAAGAAAAATGAAAACACACAGCCACACACAAAAACACACACACACACACACAAACTCTTATACATTAATCTTTATAGCTGTGTAACGCATAGTAGTTGGAAAGTGGAAATCACACAAACATTCATCAAGCTGACAAATCAATAAATAAAATGTGGTGTAAACATACATGTAATATTAATTAGACAGAAAAGGAATGAAGTAACATGTATCGACATGTAATCGCATGAATAAACTTTAAAAATATGTTAACTGGAGAAAGCCAGTCACAAAAGACCACACAGTGTATGACTTCCTTTATTTGGAATATATAGAGACAATAGGAGAGTATACAGAAATGTGGTGTGAGAAGAAAAGAAAGAAAGAAAAAGAAAGAAAGAAAGAAAGAAAGAAAGAAAGAAAGAAAGAAAGAAAGAAAGAAAGAAAAGAAAAGAGAAGGAAAGAAGGAAGGAAGGGAGTGAGTGGGGAGGGCAGGGGAGGGAAGGGCAGGGGAGGGGATGGAGGGAGCAAGGGAAGAAAGAAAGGAAAAAGAAAGAAAGAAGGAAAGAAAGAAAGGAAAGAAAAGAAAAGAAGGAAGGATGGAAAAGAAAAGGAAGGAAAGATAGAAAGAAAGAAAAAAGAAAGAAAGAAGGAAAGAAAGAAAAAGAAAGAAAGAAGGAAGGAAAGAAAGAAGAAAGGAAGAATAGTGCATGCTTAGGGCTGTGGAATTGGGTAAAGCAGAGAGTAACTGTTATGGTTATGAGGCTTCCTTTTAAGGTGATAGAACGTTCTAAAATTGATTGTAGGGTGATTGGCTAGGTCTGTAAATATACTAAAAACAATTAAATGGGTGAATTGTATGGCATGTTAATTTTATCTCAATAAAGATGTTGTATATATTTTTTAAATTTCATAATGATGTGCTCAGGGTCACTAAAATTTTATTTATTCTACTCCATCCATGGTAGACCATTTGGACTGAAAATATTCTCTTTCTCTTTTCCTATCTCTATATTTTCTTTTTGGATGTCTAGTGCAGTCTGAGAGCTAATGGAATTATGAACTACATCTTTTAGCACTGCTATTTTACCTATCACTGTCATCTAGCAGTTATGTTCTTCAAATTTCTTTTCCTTAATTCTATTAATTTTCACATTTGAATTAGCCTCTTCTCTTTGATTAATTGAAATGTTATCCCCTCAATGATTTCTGTAATTTTTGCTTCAAATTTCTTGTTTTCTCTGTTCCTCAAGTTATCTCTTTCTTCTTGTATTTTGCTTGTTTGGTTGGGTTTTGTTGTTGCTTTTGTTTGTTTGCTTGCTTGCCTGCTTGTTCTTTCTTTTTTTTTCTGTTTGTATAACTGGCCTTTATCTTCCATGCTATTGTTTTCTTCAAATATCAGGCAAGCAACAGGAAAGCTGTTTCCTTGAAAGTCTTATCATTAATAGACTACTTTTGGGATAACCATATGTATATGTCTTTTTGGCGAGGCTTCTACAAATACTAAAAGGAATAGAATTTTATTCTGGAATTCAATATGGGCATTATCCCTTTAAATTATCTGCAAAATAATTGTTTAGTTTCTTTTGTTTTCTTTTTAGTTGTGTTACTGGTTCTGTGATACTCTGAACACAACCACAGGAGAAGCACAATGGATGGCTGCCATTTATGTCAACCTCCAGCTAAACCTCGGCTTTAAATTTTATTTAAGATTCGCAACAAAAGTTGCCCCAAAATACTATGTAAACAGATTTTTCTCTCATGTTCTTCAGGGTATACTTTATTCCTTCTTCCTGAAAACCCCTCCACAGATGCTTAAAAAATCATATGTTCTGTTTCTTCTATCAATATTTCTGTATCATCCTTCAATCTTCATAAATGTATTTTAATCTTACCTCCAGTGGCATCTTTCACCTAATTTTTTCATTTTTATGGGTTAAGATATTTCTGGATTTTCAAAAACAGTTTTTACATTTGAAAAATTTATGAATATCAAAAATGTATATTCTTCCTATAATATTAGTCTCCCAGTTTTTTGCTATAATATAATTATGTTTTTTAATGGTAACTTTAGAAGACTGAGATTATGTGATCATGGTCCAAAATAAAAATTGTCTTATGTAAAGGTCATTATCACACATATTACAAGAAAGAAAGTCAGTTTAGATAGATAATTGTATATATTAAGCTGCTCTGTAGATGGTAACCAGTATGATACGACTGTATCAGAGTTCTAGAAACACCAATTAAGAAAAATTTGCCATGATTTGGCCTAAATCCACACTTTCAAAATGATATGTGAACAAGAAATTATAGGTTTGCATTTATTTTCCTAATTACAACTGTCTGTTATGAAATGATTTCACAGGTGATGAACCAAGTCTTCCTCAACCATTTATCTTCCTTCTGGAATTTCTACAGAAAATGGGAGGCTTTAAAACAGAACAATTAAGGCACTATCAATTGTGGACCAGAGAGAACCAGCTACCAGTTATGTGTATGCTAGTATCGTAAGTGTTCTTAATAAATACTAAATATTTGTCACTGAATAATAGAATCAGTAAATAAGTTAGATTTACTCCTGAGAAATATTCAGAAACACTCTGTTTTAAGTAGACCTCCAGGCCATCTGGGACTTGACTGCTATTATACAGGCCCTCTTGAGAAATCTCTAGCAATTTCTACAGTAAAATATAAAAATTGAACAGGAAAGAGAGGTTGTCATTTATTTATAAATGATTAGATGGTGATTTCACATAAAATATTTATGCCAAATCATGGCAAATTTTTCTTAATTGGTGTTTTCTAGAACTCTGATACAGTCGTATCATATTGGTTACAATCTACAGAGCAGCTTAATATATACAATTCTCTATCTAAACTGACTTTCTTTCTTGTAATATGTGTGATAATGACCTTTACATAAGACAATCTTTATTTTGGACCATGATCACATAATCTCAGTCTTATAAACATTAAAAAACATAATTATATTATGGCAAAAAACTGGGGGACTAATACTATAGGAAGATTATACATTTTGGTATTCATAAAATTTTCATAAGTAAAAACTGTTTTTGAAAATCCAGAAATATCTTAACCCATAAAAATGAAAAAATTAAGTGAAGGATGCCACTGGAGGTAAGATTAAAATACATTTATAAAGATTGAAGGATGATCCAAAAATATTGATAGAAGAAACAGAACATATGCTTTTTGGAGCATCTGTGCAGGGGTTTTCAGGAAGAAGGTGTACAGTATACCCTGAAGAACATGAGAGAAAAGTCTGTTTTCATAGTATGCTGGGTCAACTTTTGTTGCGAATCTTAAATAAAACTTAAAGCCGAGGTTTAGCTGAAGGTTGACATAAATGGCAGCCATCCACTGTGCTTCTCCTGTGATTGTGTTGAGATTGTCACAGAACTGGTGACACAACTAAAAAGAAAACAAAAGAAACTAAACAATTATTTTGCAGATAACTCAAAGGGATAATGCCAGTATTGAATTCCAGAATAAAATTCTATTCCTTTTGGTATTGTAGAAGACTCAGCCAAAAAGATGTATACCATATGCATATGGTTATCCCAAAAGTAGTCTATTAATGATAATTTGATCTTTCAGTCCTTAACACAAATATCATAACATAGAAATCAAAATTAGTACTTGTATAGGTGAAAGAGTTACATTTTGGTAGCAATCTAAAAAGTTATGATACATTTTATATGCTACAATTTATTATCAAGCAATAAATCATTTTTTTTGGGAAATTAAGTAAGTCTGAAACTATGGGAAGGTGATGACACACCCAAGTTTTTTGTCATTATTATTTTAAAGCTAAAATCTCATTCAATTTATTTAATTAAGATTATTCTAATATTATTTGATCATGTAATCTCTTTTAGCAAGAAACAACGAAAATATAATACGTAAGTTGAATCCCACATACACCATGAGAAAAAAATAGTTTAAAGGAAAAATCCTCCCACCCCCTTTTTAATTTAATGCATTTAATGGTAAAATACACATAACATAATTTTTTATCAGTATCATGTAGCACATTTGCAATTGTTATTCAACCATCACCATTTTCTAGTTCCAGAAAACTTCATTACTCCAAAAGGAAACATTCCTGTTAAGAAGCCAATCATTCCTCATTCTCTCCTCCACCAAACCCTGGGAAATCATTAATCTGCTTTTCGTTTCTATGGATTTTCTTACTTTGGAAATGGAATTATGTGATGTGTATTTTTGACATTGTTCTGTTTGTTATTAATAGTAATACTACGGGTTTGCTCATTAAAATATGTTTTTAAACATTTCATTGTCAAAAATATTCAGGAAAGGCTGGGCGCCGTGGCTCATGCCTGTAATCCCAGCACTTTGGGAGGCCAAAGCAGGTGGATCACCTGAGGTCAAGATATCAGGACCAGCCTGACCAACATGGTGAAACCCCATCTTTAATAAAAAAAAAAAAAAAAAAGGATTAGCTGGGCATGGTGGCAGGTGCCTGTAGTTTCAGCTACTTGGGAGCCTGAGGCAGGATAATCGCTTGAATCAGGGAGGCAGAGGTTGCAGTGAGCTGAGATCACGCCATTGCACTCCAGCCTGTGCAAAAAGAGTGAAATTCCATCTCAAAAAAAAAAAAAAAAAAGATATTCAGGAGATATATTTTTCACTTTGCATCTAAAACTGTCACACCCTTTTTAAAAACACAGTTACGTGGACAGTATAAGTGTTGAGGGAAGAGTACAATTTATTTATGAGAAATGCACTGCTTGAATACAAGCTGCCACTGACTTGTTTTTTTGTGGTTATTTGACCACATTAAGTAAACCAAATTCTTTTGTTGTTAATACTGCTGTTTGTTTGTCCTAAGGGTGTAGTCTTTTATTAGCTCCCTTTCTATTATATTTCATTATTCCTTAGATGCATGTTCATTCACATTTTAATATATGGATTCATCATGCATTTTTATTGGATGATATCTTAGATTTGATAGACTAATATTCTTGTGAAGAAAAACAGTGAAGAGCTTTGCTTAGATCAAGAGACAATTTTCTTGGCACATATGGATTCTATTTTCTAACAGCCTGGGGAAGAATTAATCCCAGAGATGCTTTTTTTCTGGTGAATTTAGCATGTTCTGTGTCTAGTCTGAGGTGCTATAACCAAAACACAGTAGAATGTGTGGCTTATAAACAGCAGAAATTTATTTCTCACAGTTCTGGAGGCGGAAAGTTCGAAATCAAGGCACTGTCAGATTTGTTATCTGGTGAGGGCTCGCTTTCTGGTTTTTAATGGCACATTTTTTGCTGTGTCCTCACATGGTAGAATGGGTGAGGTTCTCTCTGGGGTCTCTTTTGTAAGGGTGCTAATAGCATTCACAAGCACTTCATTCTGAGAACCAAATAATCTCCCAAGACCCTACCTCCAAATACTATCATATTGGGGATAAATTTCAACATATAAATTTGGGGGGTCACAAACATTCAATCTATAGCATAAAGTATCATATAAATTTTATTTTGCATTTTTGAATGTAAATTCCACCACATTTTTCAGAGTAGGATAGGTAAGGGGTAATTTTCTAAAGACAATAGTCCATATTAAGAGTACTGTCAGTCCTTTACCTCAAAAGAATTTAGATTTAACCATTTTAAAGAATGTGATTTTGCAAACAGACAAAATCAATTTATACTCTATTTTCTTCTTTTAACAAAACTGACCATGTGAAATGAACGTTGTCATTTCTAGTAACATTGATGTATTATCATAAAAATTATATGATTGTTTTAAAAATTCATCTTTTATACAATTCTATGTTATATATAAGAAATCAATTTTATATTGGTACTAATTTGTCAAAAATCATTCTGACTGATATATCTCAATTTGACTGGGAGCTGTCTATCAAGTAAGTCACATAAATCAGAGCAAAAAAGAGTGGGTCTGACATACATTTCAAATCTTCGTAATGGGGAATGGAAACAGTGCTGCTTGCTTTAAGAGAACTTTCTTCATCAAATGTGTCCTTACCTAACTCAACTTTCTGCTACTGATTTTAAAAAATAGTAATAGATTGCTATTTTTTTAACTTAAAAAGCGTATGCTTTGGTTTTTTTGCATGTTGTTTTAGATGCTTGATGACAAAATCTGATGGATGATATAGTAAATCAGTGAACAGGAAATGAGGATGTGTTTAATCGAGGTTTCTTCTCTTCCGTTTTCCAAACAGATCCAAAATGACACCTAAAGAGACATATGTAAAAATTTTAAAAATTAAAATAATTAGTTTCTATACTATGACATTTATCAGAGAATGTCAATTGGTGATATCAGCCATCTCAACAGATAAACTTCATGTGTTTCTTTAATGGATAATGCTGAAAGCTTATAATTTTTATTTTGCCTGGCAGTAAACAGAGATTCTAAACCCTGTTGACTACCTGGAGCACTGAGATAATAAAAGTGTTTACAGTAAAATGAAGCTTAATTATAAGCAGAATGAAAGTCTTTTGAATTGCAATAAAGGAATTAAAGATTTACATTTTACTTCTCCTTAAAATTAGTTCCTGTGGGCCATCTTCCATTGAAATTTATGTTTATCCATGATTACATTTACCAAGGTTTTAAATATTTTGTTTAAGCAAAATATTTAAGTTTGATGAAATAACATATCATTGATTTTACTAACATTTCTCCTGCTTAAAATGGTTTGCAATGTTCTCAAACAGTGGGAGATATTTAAAATTAGAAATGCATTCAGAAATAATTTAAAGTAAAAAATATGCAATAGAATAACCTTTCCCTTGTTTAATGGGTGTTAGCTTTTCATTAGTACAATGGTAAGAAAAGTCATAATTTTCTATAAAACAAAATGTATTCTAAAGCACAAATTCACATATTGCTATTAGTGAGTAAAGGCATTTATTATGAAGCATGCACTCATTTAATTATTAAAACCAGAAAAGAATAATGCACATCTGAAATACATTTACTGAAATAGATAAAATAAATGAAAAGTTTATTTATCTAAGTTTCAAAGTCTTGGAATTTCCAGAAAAAAATATTCAGAAAAGAGAAATGATTAAACAAAATATAAGTAGGAAACATCTTTCTCTACTTTTCCAGTAAAGTGTGCATAAACACAAACACACACACACACACACAAGGGACACATGATTTTTAATCAGAAGTGATGGGTAAAAGTTGGCATTGTCAGGAGCAAAATGCATTTGAAAGCTCTGGTCATGCAGTGTAAAAGAAAAGAAAAGAAAACCAAACAAAAAACCATCTAACTTTTAAAATAAATCTGCTGGCAAAACCCTGTCTTCTAGTAGGGCTTCAGCTATATTATTTTGGAGTTAATTTCTATTGCAAAGATAAGTAAATAAGTAATTTATAATATGTTTCCATGTTTCAAATAGCGGTTTGGAATAAAGTATAAATTTATTGGTTCAAGGGCCAACAAATAAAACTCCAAAACACTGCTGATATATAGTACTAAATGTATTCTGAACATTTACAAAGAAAAAATATAGAGTGAGACTGAGGGAGAAAGAGGCAGAGAGGGGATATAGAGAAAGAGGGAGAAATGAAATATTTGATATACAATCAATTATATTTCTGAATACTGACTTTAGACAAATGAATTTTACTAGTAAAGACAGGATTACAAACTGTCTGCTTCGCCCACCACAATCATTTACCAGTTTGCCAAACTTAAGGAATCAGATGAGACGAAGATAGAGAAAATTCAGAACTACGAGAATAATAATTTATTTGGTAAGCTAGTACAAAGTTTGGAGAATATGAGAATAAGATTTTATTTGGTAAGCTAGGTAAAGAGAATTTTTTGGCAAGACAACTTTATAAAACTTTTACTAGTTTATAATTTAGATAGCTTTATTGACACATAAAATGAAAAACTACTAAACTGCAAATACAAAGTTAATATTTTGGGATGTAAAAGTTATTTTCAATAAAGTAGAATCATGTTAAATAGCAATTGCTCATCAGATGTTGTATTGTGCTTTTAGGAAGTGATTCTAACCTAAAAAATCTATAGTTATAAGTTTTATAGCATTAGAATTAAGCACAAATCTATAGCTTATAGACATTCAATATGTAGGAAATATAAATTCTAATGATGTTTTTACTACTATCACTATACGAGTTTATTTTAAGAATTGGAAGCTCTCAGAGGCCAAATTAAAACCTTTGAAATTTTCCTTAAATAATATTTAGAAATTACTACAGAAAAATGTGTCAATGCCTTAACATCCAAATAAATGATTACTTTACAGATAAATTGTTAAGCATCATATTAAGTTTCAAAAATTTTCAAGGAAGATTTCCGTATAAAATAAAATACTAACTTTATAAAAATGAAAGGCAGAAGAGGATGAGGTTCAAAGGGATAGCTGATTACCACCTTTTGCAGAGAGAGTTAATAGATAATGTTTATAGCTGCTAAATTTAAAAAAATAATGGGTGGTATAACCAAAATATAGATGAGTGGATATAATCATCAGAAATTCCTTACCAAAAAGTTTAAAATGGTTATTTACATTGAGTTGGGGGGAGGTCTGCTCCCCTTTACTAGAAGCAAATTAAATTATTCAGTTTTGGCAACTTGCATGTCTTTTTTGTTGAAAAATATAAACTAAAAGGCAAAGAAGCCAACAGACAAACAAACCAAAAAAAGCAGAAGACACTACTGATGCATTTCTGAGTGTTATGGAAATAAGGATAACTTACGTAGCTGTGAACTAAAATCTAATAAGATTTGGGGTAGAACAAAATTTTACATAAAAACAAAACAAGTAAACGTAGAATACAAATTATTTCAAATGAAATTATTGGGATAAAATTCTGTTACTCTGTAATGGATGGTATTCCTGTTTATTGTACCAATCAGATTTAAACATTGGGCCCCATGAATTATTACTTGAACTATATTCATCCAAAGATTGTACATATAGAGGACAGCTTTGGTAAGTGATTGCAGGATTATGAGAAACATATATTAAAACATTCAGTCATAATAAAGGAAGCATCGAATTGTTCGTAATGCAGATTGAATCATATTTGTCAAACAAATTCTCATGAATGAGATACACTATAGCATAAAAGAATGCATATTTATTATACATGAAAATGTAACAGAGGGAAAATATTATATATTCACACGATAAGATTAGATTGGTTTTTGCCATATGGTTATACATTTTTTATTTAAAGATTTTTGATGGATAATTCACAAAGTTAGTATCATGGTTTATAGCATAAAACATATCTTAAATTCAAAAAGTAACTATAAAGACTGATTAATTACTGGCATGTGGCCATTTTCAAAACTTTGGTTATATATGCATAGTTTTCTTTTATTTTTGATGAAAAACTTGTGATTATAATTAGGAATATTTTGTTAACTCCATTATTTAATTAAGTATAAGGTTTGCATGTATACTGTCAGGCATGGTTTTTTAAATAAATTAAAAAATAAACCCCATAAGTAGCAAAACATAGTTTCCATAATATTTATCAGATTACCAGGCTATTGAAATGAAACTGAAATGAAATTAGCTTCCTTTTCCTAGAGCCAATAGAAAAATTTTCATAGAGAAGACTGTGATAAGAGAAGGGATTCTTGAGTTAGTCATTTTGGAGATTAAGCAGTTACAGTATCTCAGAGTATAAATCTGATGGCTAGTGTTAGACATGAATTGGGAAAGTTCATTAACGGTGGAGAGGGCAAGAGGTTTGGAAATCAAAGTCATGGTGTTGGATGGGACACATTAACATAGAATCATCCATTTTGGGAAGGCAGGGGATGGAAAGAAAGTTTGTGATCTATTGTCGAGAAACAAATACCTGAGAAATAGTTGGAAGTTTTGACAAATAAATAACAGATGAGTCTATCAGATGTGCAACAATGAATAAATAATTAAAATTTGTACTTTGCTTTCTTAATATAAAAATCAATGCCATCCTATGTATTTTGTTACATGTTTTCAATGATGCTCATGCTATCAATTTACATAGCAACAGTTGCTTTCTTAGGTGACAGAAAGATGAACTTTATTTGTTCCCCGTTTTAAGGCTAAAAATAAACTTGCATAAGGCTCAACATCAAGAAACTATCTGAGAAAAACATTTGAGGCTTGATATAAAGGTTGTGGTTTCAAATTTTCAAAACTCTTACAGATACCAGAAGACCAGATGACAAAGCAACTGTCCTAGGAATTAGAAATGCTCTAGTCCCAACTGTTGCATTGTATGCTTAGTGCCATCTTTGAGGAACTATGTCATAACATCAGTAGGCTAGAGGATTCCAAAGGTGATATAACAGCATTATAGATAGATGAATATTTAAAGAAAAATATGGATTATAAAGATATTTGGGGAGCTTTGGGGGTGTACATGATGATGGGAATGTGACTAATAACATTTTGGGACTCCCTCAATACATTGTCCAAATCATTACTGACTCCTCAACAAGCAAGTATAAACCCATATAACTATGTTCTCTGCAAATGAACAACGATGCAAATAGTGGAGGTTGTAATAAGATATGATTTTAACACAAAATTGTTTAAATTTGGATTTTGTTTACTGATACTTTAGTTGGGCAATGTGCCATAGAGACACATGTGCTAGTTTTATCCTATTTCATTTGCTCTTCATAATGACGCTGTATTTATCAGCATTTTCCTTTTAAAGGGGAGAGCTAAAATGAGACAAAGAGGTTTAATGTATTGCCTAAAGTTACACACCTAGTAAATGGTGGATTCAGGATTCTTTCATAACAGTACAGCTTACTTTCTCCTTAGGCCATGGTTACCTATAACAAGGTTGATGAATTAAGTGAAGGTATCTTTGTATTCAAGATTTATAAATGACATAACAGAAATCTTCCTGAAGCATGAATCTGGTATCTCAATAATACTGTACTTTATCTCACAACAATCCATTATCATTTTAGCCTAAAGGCAAAAGATAATTTATGTAACTAGCCATGTATAGACACTTTATGCAGGAAATTAAAAGTGTTATCTTTGATAGTTCACATTTTTATGTAATTATGTTGGATAATGCTATTGGCAAAAGGTATACTACAGTGATCTCCCTTTTGTTGTTGATTTTTAATCATTGATAAGAATTTAAGTAAATATTTTAAGAGGGATTGTAAGTGGTTGGGGCTTTATACTTGTTTGTTTATTTTTACACGGTTTCTTTTAGGACAGACTATATTAAGCATATTTTGGCTTCCCTCTTGAAAATAATCGTCATTATCTTTAAGCCAACTTCTACAGAAAATTCCTTTATGCTTTGTCACCATATAAGATTTTGATTCATATTGTAATATAGATATTAAACCTTTCTAAATAAATTAATTTAGATTCCATTGCTCAAATACTTAGATTTTCCTTGTGTACATTAAAGCAGTCTCATAGCCAATTACATATGTCAATGTAAAAGGTGGCACTGATGTAAATTGTCTTGGTTAGCGTATTTATTTAACTAAAATTATCAAGCACTTGTTACATAACAGGAGCTGTGATAACTGCTATAACCATAAAGATAAATAATTCATGGGTCTATGCTCAACTAAGAGCTTGCAATCTAGTGAAGGTGGCCAAAATACAGTCATGTGTCACTGATAGGAAGGTATTTTGAGAAATGTGTGGTTAGGTGATTTTGTCCTTTTGCAAACATGGCAAAACCTACCACACACTTAGGCTATGTGGTATAACCTATTGCTCCTAGGATACAAACCTGTACAGCATGTTACTGTACTGGATACTGTAAGCAATTATAACACAATGGTATTAATATATCTAAACATCTCTAAACACAGAAAGGTACAGTAAAACTACAGTATAAAAGATGAAAAATTGTACATCTGCATGGAGCCCTTACCCCAAAGAAACTTTCAGGACTGGAAGTTGTTCTGGGTGAGTCAGTAAGTGGCAAGTGAATGTGAAGACCTAGGACATTACCCTATTGTTGATTTTATAAACACTGTAACCTTTGGCTAGACTAAATGTATTAATTTTTTATTGCTAAATTAACCTTAGTTTACTGTAACATTTTTACCTTGTAGACTTCTTTTTAAACTTTTTACCTCTTTCATAATAATGCTTAGCTTAAAACACAAACAATTGGACAGCTGTACAAAAATATTTTATTTTTCTATATCCTATTCTATTAACTTGTTTCTTTTTACTTTTTACACTTTTTTGTTTCAAACTAAGGGACAAACCTACGTGTTAGCCTGGGCCTGCACAGGGTCACCATCATCAATATCACTGTTTTACACCTCCACATCTTGCCCCAGTGAAAGATCTTCAGGCCAATAACATGCATGGAACTGTCATCTTCTGTGAAAACAATGCCTTCTTCTGGAATACCTCCTAAAGGGTCTACCTGAGGCTATTTTACAGTTATTTTTTTCCTCAAAAGTAGAAGGAATGCACCATAAAATAATGGTAGTTTTTAGTATATCACAGTAAATACATCTACCAGTAATATACTCATTTATTATTATTATCTGGTACTATATAGCATATATAATCGTCTGTGTGTTACTTTCTTACAACTTGCAGTGCTGTAGGTTTGCTTACACCAGCGTCACCAGAAACAAGGGAGTAATGCCTTGCTTTACAGCATTACAATGGCTACAATCTTACCAAGTGAAAGAAGATTTTCAGCTTCATTATAATGTTCTAAGACCCCTATCATATACGCTATGCATTATTGACTTACAGATCATTATAAGGAGTGTGACTGTACATAATACCACATAATAGAGATTTGAATCAAGCGTTCTGGGAGTTCCAAAGATAGGAAAGCTGACTTTCTGTTGATTTTAGGCAAAGCAGAGAGAGTACTATAAGTCTTGACCCAAATAAAGAGGGGGTGCTGGCTAAGCATTCCAAAGAGTGGCAGAGTCACAGATAATATGATTGGAAGACTTAACATGATTTTTGGTGACAGTTTGAATCTATTATGACTCTAACATTAAGCGACATAGTTAAGTTTGAGTTGTGTATTCAGCCCTGTATTTGCCAGTTACCTCCGGTACCTGATGATGAAAGG